>NC_000007.14:59356517-59509217 GCF_000001405.40 Homo sapiens
TTGTAAAGTCTGCAATTGGATATATGGACCTGTTTGAGGCCTTCGTTGGAAACGGGATTTCTTCATTGAATGCTAGACGGAAGAATTCTCAGTAAATTCTTTGTGTTGTGTGCATTCAACTCACAGAGTGGAACGTCCCTTTAGACAGAGCTGATTTGAAACACTCTTTTTGCGGAATTTGCAAGTGGAGATTTCTAGCCATTTGATGCCAACAGTAGAAAGGGAAATATCTTCAAATAAAAACCAGACAGAATCATTCTCAGAAAATTCTTTGTGATGTGTGCGTTCAACTCACATAGTTTAACCTTTCTTTTCATAGAGCAGTTTGGAAACACTCTGTTTGTAAAGTCTGCAAGTGGATATATGGACCGCATTGAGGCCTTCGTTGGAAACGGGATTTCTTCATTTCATGCTAGACAGAAGAATTCTCAGTAACTTCTTTGTGCTGTGTGTATTCAACTCACAGAGTGGAACGTCCCTTTGCACAGAGCAGATTTGAAACACTCTTTTTGTGGAATTTGCAAGTGGAGATTTCAAGCGATTTGATGCCAACAGTAGAAAAGGAAATATCTTCAAATAAAAACTAGACAGAATCATTCTCAGAAACTACTTTGTGATGTGTGCCTTCAACTCACAGAGTTTAACCTTTCTTTTCTTAGAGCAGTTTAGAAACACTCTGCTTGTTATGTCTGCAAGTGGATATTTGGACCTCTTTGAGGCCTTCGTTGCAAACGGGGTTTCTTCCTTTCATGCTAGACTAAGAAGAGTTCTCAGTAACTTTTTTGTGTTGTGTGTATTCAACTCACAGAGTTGAACCTTGCTTTAGAGAGAGCAGATTTGAAACACTCTTGCTGTGGCATTTTCAGGTGGAGATTTCAAGCGATTTGAGGACAATTGCAGAAAAGGAAATATCTTCGTATAATAACCAGACAGAATCATTCTCAGAAAGTGCTTTGTGATGTGTGCGTTCCACTCACAGAGTTTAACCTTTCTTTTCATAGAGGAGTTTGGAAACACACTGTTTGTAAAGTCTGCAAGTGGATATATGGACCTGTTTGAGGCCTTCGTTGGAAACGGGATTTCTTCATTGAATGCTAGACGGAAGAATTCTCAGTAAATTCTTTGTGTTGTGTGCATTCAACTCACAGAGTGGAACGTCCCTTTAGACAGAGCAGATTTGAAACACTCTTTTTGCGGAATTTGCAATTGGAGATTTCTAGCCATTTGATGCCAACAGTAGAAAGGGAAATATCTTCAAATAAAAACCAGGCAGAATCATTCTCAGAAAATTCTTTGTGATGTGTGCATTCAACTCACATAGTTTAACCTTTCTTTTCATAGAGCAGTTTGGAAACACTCTGTTTGTAAAGTCTGCAAGTGGATATATGGACCGCATTGAGGCCTTCGTTGGAAACGGGATTTCTTCATTTCATGCTAGACAGAAGAATTCTCAGTAACTTCTTTGTGCTGTGTGTATTCAACTCACAGAGTGGAACGTCCCTTTACACAGAGCAGATTTGAAACACTCTTTTTGTGGAGTTTGCAAGTGGAGATTTCAAGCGATTTGATGCCAACAGTAGAAAAGGAAATATCTTCAAATAAAAACTAGACAGAATCATTCTCAGAAACTACTTTGTGATGTGTGCCTTCAACTCACAGAGTTTAACCTTTCTTTTCATAGAGCAGTTTAGAAACACTCTGCTTGTTATGTCTGCAAGTGGATATTTTTACCTCTTTGAGGCCTTCGTTGCAAACGGGGTTTCTTCCTTTCATGCTAGACTAAGAAGAGTTCTCAGTAACTTTTTTGTGTTGTGTGCATTCAACTCACAGAGTTGAACCTTGCTTTAGAGAGAGCAGATTTGAAACACTCTTGCTGTGGCATTTTCAGGTGGAGATTTCAAGCGATTTGAGGACAATTGCAGAAAAGGAAATATCTTCGTATAACAACCAGACAGAATCATTCTCAGAAAGTGCTTTGTGATGTGTGCGTTCAACTCACAGAGTTTAACCTTTCTTTTCATAGAGGAGTTTGGAAACACACTGTTTGTAAAGTCTGCAATTGGATATATGGACCTGTTTGAGGCCTTCGTTGGAAACGGGATTTCTTCATTGAATGCTAGACGGAAGAATTCTCAGTAAATTCTTTGTGTTGTGTGCATTCAACTCACAGAGTGGAACGTCCCTTTAGACAGAGCAGATTTGAAACACTCTTTTTGCGGAATTTGCAAGTGGAGATTTCTAGCCATTTGATGCCAACAGTAGAAAGGGAAATATCTTCAAATAAAAACCAGACAGAATCATTCTCAGAAAATTCTTTGTGATGTGTGCGTTCAACTCACATAGTTTAACCTTTCTTTTCATAGAGCAGTTTGGAAACACTCTGTTTGTAAAGTCTGCAAGTGGATATATGGACCGCATTGAGGCCTTCGTTGGAAACGGGATTTCTTCATTTCATGCTAGACAGAAGAATTCTCAGTAACTTCTTTGTGCTGTGTGTATTCAACTCACAGAGTGGAACGTCCCTTTGCACAGAGCAGATTTGAAACACTCTTTTTGTGGAGTTTGCAAGTGGAGATTTCAAGCGATTTGATGCCAACAGTAGAAAAGGAAATATCTTCAAATAAAAACTAGACAGAATCATTCTCAGAAACTACTTTGTGATGTGTGCCTTCAACTCACAGAGTTTAACCTTTCTTTTCTTAGAGCAGTTTAGAAACACTCTGCTTGTTATGTCTGCAAGTGGATATTTGGACCTCTTTGAGGCCTTCGTTGCAAACGGGGTTTCTTCCTTTCATGCTAGACTAAGAAGAGTTCTCAGTAACTTTTTTGTGTTGTGTGTATTCAACTCACAGAGTTGAACCTTGCTTTAGAGAGAGCAGATTTGAAACACTCTTGCTGTGGCATTTTCAGGTGGAGATTTCAAGCGATTTGAGGACAATTGCAGAAAAGGAAATATCTTCGTATAATAACCAGACAGAATCATTCTCAGAAAGTGCTTTGTGATGTGTGCGTTCCACTCACAGAGTTTAACCTTTCTTTTCATAGAGGAGTTTGGAAACACACTGTTTGTAAAGTCTGCAAGTGGATATATGGACCTGTTTGAGGCCTTCGTTGGAAACGGGATTTCTTCATTGAATGCTAGACGGAAGAATTCTCAGTAAATTCTTTGTGTTGTGTGCATTCAACTCACAGAGTGGAACGTCCCTTTAGACAGAGCAGATTTGAAACACTCTTTTTGCGGAATTTGCAAGTGGAGATTTCTAGCCATTTGATGCCAACAGTAGAAAGGGAAATATCTTCAAATAAAAACGAGACAGAATCATTCTCAGAAAATTCTTTGTGATGTGTGCGTTCAACTCACATAGTTTAACCTTTCTTTTCATAGAGCAGTTTGGAAACACTCTGTTTGTAAAGTCTGCAAGTGGATATATGGACCGCATTGAGGCCTTCGTTGGAAACGGGATTTCTTCATTTCATGCTAGACAGAAGAATTCTCAGTAACTTCTTTGTGCTGTGTGTATTCAACTCACAGAGTGGAACGTCCCTTTACACAGAGCAGATTTGAAACACTCTTTTTGTGGAGTTTGCAAGTGGAGATTTCAAGCGATTTGATGCCAACAGTAGAAAAGGAAATATCTTCAAATAAAAACTAGACAGAATCATTCTCAGAAACTACTTTGTGATGTGTGCCTTCAACTCACAGAGTTTAACCTTTCTTTTCTTAGAGCAGTTTAGAAACACTCTGCTTGTTATGTCTGCAAGTGGATATTTGGACCTCTTTGAGGCCTTCGTTGCAAACGGGGTTTCTTCCTTTAATGCTAGACTAAGAAGAGTTCTCAGTAACTTTTTTGTGTTGTGTGTATTCAACTCACAGAGTTGAACCTTGCTTTAGAGAGAGCAGATTTGAAACACTCTTGCTGTGGCATTTTCAGGTGGAGATTTCAAGCGATTTGAGGACAATTGCAGAAAAGGAAATATCTTCGTATAATAACCAGACAGAATCATTCTCAGAAAGTGCTTTGTGATGTGTGCGTTCAACTCACAGAGTTTAACCTTTCTTTTCATAGAGGAGTTTGGAAACACACTGTTTGTAAAGTCTGCAATTGGATATATGGACCTGTTTGAGGCCTTCTTTGGAAACGGGATTTCTTCATTGAATGCTAGACGGAAGAATTCTCAGTAAATTCTTTGTGTTGTGTGCATTCAACTCACAGAGTGGAACGTCCCTTTAGACAGAGCAGATTTGAAACACTCTTTTTGCGGAATTTGCAAGTGGAGATTTCTAGCCATTTGATGCCAACAGTAGAAAGGGAAATATACTTCAAATAAAAACCAGGCAGAATCATTCTCAGAAAATTCTTTGTGATGTGTGCGTTCAACTCACATAGTTTAACCTTTCTTTTCATAGAGCAGTTTGGAAACACTCTGTTTGTAAAGTCTGCAAGTGGATATATGGACCGCATTGAGGCCTTCGTTGGAAACGGGATTTCTTCATTTCATGCCAGACAGAAGAATTCTCAGTAACTTCTTTGTGCTGTGTGTATTCAACTCACAGAGTGGAACGTCCCTTTACACAGAGCAGATTTGAAACACTCTTTTTGTGGAGTTTGCAAGTGGAGAATTCAAGCGATTTGATGCCAACAGTAGAAAAGGAAATATCTTCAAATAAAAACTAGACAGAATCATTCTCAGAAACTGCTTTGTGATGTGTGCCTTCAACTCACAGAGTTTAACCTTTCTTTTCTTAGAGCAGTTTAGAAACACTCTGCTTGTTATGTCTGCAAGTGGATATTTGGACCTCTTTGAGGCCTTCGTTGCAAACGGGGTTTCTTCCTTTCATGCTAGACTAAGAAGAGTTCTCAGTAACTTTTTTGTGTTGTGTGTATTCAACTCACAGAGTTGAACCTTGCTTTAGAGAGAGCAGATTTGAAACACTCTTGCTGTGGCATTTTCAGGTGGAGATTTCAAGCGATTTGAGGACAATTGCAGAAAAGGAAATATCTTCGTATAATAACCAGACAGAATCATTCTCAGAAAGTGCTTTGTGATGTGTGCGTTCAACTCACAGAGTTTAACCTTTCTTTTCATAGAGGAGTTTGGAAACACACTGTTTGTAAAGTCTGCAAGTGGATATATGGACCAGTTTGAGGCCTTCGTTGGAAACGGGATTTCTTCATTGAATGCTAGACGGAAGAATTCTCAGTAAATTCTTTGTGTTGTGTGCATTCAACTCACAGAGTGGAACGTCCCTTTAGACATAGCAGATTTGAAACACTCTTTTTGCGGAATTTGCAAGTGGAGATTTCTAGCCATTTGATGCCAACAGTAGAAAGGGAAATATCTTCAAATAAAAACCAGACAGAATCATTCTCAGAAAATTCTTTGTGATGTGTGCGTTCAACTCACATAGTTTAACCTTTCTTTTCATAGAGCAGTTTGGAAACACTCTGTTTGTAAAGTCTGCAAGTGGATATATGGACCGCATTGAGGCCTTCGTTGGAAACGGGATTTCTTCATTTCATGCTAGACAGAAGAATTCTCAGTAACTTCTTTGTGCTGTGTGTATTCAACTCACAGAGTGGAACGTCCCTTTGCACAGAGCAGATTTGAAACACTCTTTTTGTGGAATTTGCAAGTGGAGATTTCAAGCGATTTGATGCCAACAGTAGAAAAGGAAATATCTTCAAATAAAAACTAGACAGAATCATTCTCAGAAACTACTTTGTGATGTGTGCCTTCAACTCACAGAGTTTAAACTTTCTTTTCTTAGAGCACTTTAGAAACACTCTGCTTGTTATGTCTGCAAGTGGATATTTGGACCTCTTTTAGGCCTTCGTTGCAAACGGGGTTTCTTCCTTTAATGCTAGACTAAGAAGAGTTCTCAGTAACTTTTTTGTGTTGTGTGTATTCAACTCACAGAGTTGAACCTTGCTTTAGAGAGAGCAGATTTGAAACACTCTTGCTGTGGCATTTTCAGGTGGAGATTTCAAGCGATTTGAGGACAATTGCAGAAAAGGAAATATCTTCGTATAGTAACCAGACAGAATCATTCTCAGAAAGTGCTTTGTGATGTGTGCGTTCAACTCACAGAGTTTAACCTTTCTTTTCATAGAGGAGTTTGGAAACACACTGTTTGTAAAGTCTGCAATTGGATATATGGACCTGTTTGAGGCCTTCGTTGGAAACGGGATTTCTTCGTTGAATGCTAGACGGAAGAATTCTCAGTAAATTCTTTGTGTTGTGTGCATTCAACTCACAGAGTGGAACGTCCCTTTAGACAGAGCAGATTTGAAACACTCTTTTTGCGGAATTTGCAAGTGGAGATTTCTAGCCATTTGATGCCAACAGTAGAAAGGGAAATATCTTCAAATAAAAACCAGACAGAATCATTCTCAGAAAATTCTTTGTGATGTGTGCGTTCAACTCACATAGTTTAACCTTTCTTTTCATAGAGCAGTTTGGAAACACTCTGTTTGTAAAGTCTGCAAGTGGATATATGGACCGCATTGAGGCCTTCGTTGGAAACGGGATTTCTTCATTTCATGCTAGACAGAAGAATTCTCAGTAACTTCTTTGTGCTGTGTGTATTCAACTCACAGAGTGGAACGTCCCTTTGCACAGAGCAGATTTGAAACACTCTTTTTGTGGAATTTGCAAGTGGAGATTTCAAGCGATTTGATGCCAACAGTAGAAAAGGAAATATCTTCAAATAAAAACTAGACAGAATCATTCTCAGAAACTACTTTGTGATGTGTGCCTTCAACTCACAGAGTTTAACCTTTCTTTTCTTAGAGCAGTTTAGAAACACTCTGCTTGTTATGTCTGCAAGTGGATATTTGGACCTCTTTGAGGCCTTCGTTGCAAACGGGGTTTCTTCCTTTCATGCTAGACTAAGAAGAGTTCTCAGTAACTTTTTTGTGTTGTGTGTATTCAACTCACAGAGTTGAACCTTGCTTTAGAGAGAGCAGATTTGAAACACTCTTGCTGTGGCATTTTCAGGTGGAGATTTCAAGCGATTTGAGGACAATTGCAGAAAAGGAAATATCTTCGTATAACAACCAGACAGAATCATTCTCAGAAAGTGCTTTGTGATGTGTGCGTTCCACTCACAGAGTTTAACCTTTCTTTTCATAGAGGAGTTTGGAAACACACTGTTTGTAAAGTCTGCAAGTGGATATATGGACCTGTTTGAGGCCTTCGTTGGAAACGGGATTTCTTCATTGAATGCTAGACGGAAGAATTCTCAGTAAATTCTTTGTGTTGTGTGCATTCAACTCACAGAGTGGAACGTCCCTTTAGACAGAGCAGATTTGAAACACTCTTTTTGCGGAATTTGCAAGTGGAGATTTCTAGCCATTTGATGCCAACAGTAGAAAGGGAAACATCTTCATATAAAAACCAGACAGAGTCATTCTCAGAAAATTCTTTGTGATGTGTGCGTTCAACTCACATAGTTTAACCTTTCTTTTCATAGAGCAGTTTGGAAACACTCTGTTTGTAAAGTCTGCAAGTGGATATATGGACCGCATTGAGGCCTTCGTTGGAAACGGGATTTCTTCATTTCATGCTAGACAGAAGAATTCTCAGTAACTTCTTTGTGCTGTGTGTATTCACCTCACAGAGTGGAACGTCCCTTTGCACAGAGCGGATTTGAAACACTCTTTTTGTGGAGTTTGCAAGTGGAGATTTCAAGCGATTTGATGCCAACAGTAGAAAAGGAAATATCTTCAAATAAAAACTAGACAGAATCATTCTCAGAAACTACTTTGTGATGTGTGCCTTTAACTCACAGAGTTTAACCTTTCTTTTCTTAGAGCAGTTTAGAAACACTCTGCTTGTTATGTCTGCAAGTGGATATTTGGACCTCTTTGAGGCCTTCGTTGCAAACGGGGTTTCTTCCTTTCATGCTAGACTAAGAAGTGTTCTCAGTAACTTTTTTGTGTTGTGTGTATTCAACTCACAGAGTTGAACCTTGCTTTAGAGAGAGCAGATTTGAAACACTCTTGCTGTGGCATTTTCAGGTGGAGATTTCAAGCGATTTGAGGACAATTGCAGAAAAGGAAATATCTTCGTATAATAACCAGACAGAATCATTCTCAGAAAGTGCTTTGTGATGTGTGCGTTCAACTCACAGAGTTTAACCTTTCTTTTCATAGAGGAGTTTGGAAACACACTGTTTGTAAAGTCTGCAAGTGGATACATGGACCTGTTTGAGGCCTTCGTTGGAAACGGGATTTCTTCATTGAATGCTAGACGGAAGAATTCTCAGTAAATTCTTTGTGTTGTGTGCATTCAACTCACAGAGTGGAACGTCCCTTTAGACAGAGCAGATTTGAAACACTCTTTTTGCGGAATTTGCAAGTGGAGATTTCTAGCCATTTGATGCCAACAGTCGAAAGGGAAATATCTTCAAATAAATACCAGACAGAATCATTCTCAGAAAATTCTTTGTGATGTGTGCGTTCAACTCACATAGTTTAACCTTTCTTTTCATAGAGCAGTTTGGAAACACTCTGTTTGTAAAGTCTGCAAGTGGATCTATGGACCGCATTGAGGCCTTCGTTGGAAACGGGATTTCTTCATTTCATGCTAGACAGAAGAATTCTCAGTAACTTCTTTGTGCTGTGTGTATTCAACTCACAGAGTGGAACATCCCTTTACACAGAGCAGATTTGAAACACTCTTTTTGTGGAGTTTGCAAGTGGAGATTTCAAGCGATTTGATGCCAACAGTAGAAAATGAAATATCTTCAAATAAAAACTAGACAGAATCATTCTCAGAAACTACTTTGTGATGTGTGCCTTCAACTCACAGAGTTTAACCTTTCTTTTCTTAGAGCAGTTTAGAAACACTCTGCTTGTTATGTCTGCAAGTGGATATTTGGACCTCTTTGAGGCCTTCGTTGCAAAAGGGGTTTCTTCCTTTAATGCTAGACTAAGAAGAGTTCTCAGTAACTTTTTTGTGTTGTGTGTATTCAACTCACAGAGTTGAACCTTGCTTTAGAGAGAGCAGATTTGAAACACTCTTGCTGTGGCATTTTCAGGTGGAGATTTCAAGCGATTTGAGGACAATTGCAGAAAAGGAAATATCTTCGTATAATAACCAGACAGAATCATTCTCAGAAAGTGCTTTGTGATGTGTGCGTTCAACTCACAGAGTTTAACCTTTCTTTTCATAGAGGAGTTTGGAAACACACTGTTTGTAAAGTCTGCAATTGGATATATGGACCTGTTTGAGGCCTCCGTTGGAAACGGGATTTCTTCATTGAATGCTAGACGGAAGAATTCTCAGTAAATTATTTGTGTTGTGTGCATTGAACTCACAGAGTGGAACGTCCCTTTAGACAGAGCAGATTTGAAACACTCATTTTGCGGAATTTGCAAGTGGAGATTTCTAGCCATTTGATGTCAACAGTAGAAAGGGAAATATCTTCAAATAAAAACCAGACAGAATCATTCTCAGAAAATTCTTTGTGATGTGTGCGTTCAACTCACATAGTTTAACCTTTCTTTTCATAGAGCAGTTTGGAAACACTCTGTTTGTAAAGTCTGCAAGTGGATATATGGACCGCATTGAGGCCTTCGTTGGAAACGGGATTTCTTCATTTCATGCTAGACAGAAGAATTCTCAGTAACTTCTTTGTGCTGTGTGTATTCAACTCACAGAGTGGAACGTCCCTTTACACAGAGCAGATTTGAAACACTCTTTTTGTGGAGTTTGCAAGTGGAGATTTCAAGCGATTTGATGCCAACAGTAGAAAAGGAAATATCTTCAAATAAAAACTAGACAGAATCATTCTCAGAAACTACTTTGTGATGTGTGCCTTCAACTCACAGAGTTTAACCTTTCTTTTCTTAGAGCAGTTTAGAAACACTCTGCTTGTTATGTCTGCAAGTGGATATTTGGACCTCTTTGAGGCCTTCGTTGCAAACGGGGTTTCTTCCTTTCATGCTAGACTAAGAAGAGTTCTCAGTAACTTTTTTGTGTTGTGTGTATTCAACTCACAGAGTTGAACCTTGCTTTAGAGAGAGCAGATTTGAAACACTCTTGCTGTGGCATTTTCAGGTGGAGATTTCAAGCGATTTGAGGACAATTGCAGAAAAGGAAATATCTTCGTATAATAACCAGACAGAATCATTCTCAGAAAGTGCTTTGTGATGTGTGCATTCAACTCACAGAGTTTAACCTTTCTTTTCATAGAGGAGTTTGGAAACACACTGTTTGTAAAGACTGCAAGTGGATATATGGACCTGTTTGAGGCCTTCGTTGGAAACGGGATTTCTTCATTGAATGCTAGACGGAAGAATTCTCAGTAAATTCTTTGTGTTGTGTGCATTCAACTCACAGAGTGGAACGTCCCTTTAGACAGAGCAGATTTGAAACACTCTTTTTGCGGAATTTGCAAGTGGAGATTTCTAGCCATTTGATGCCAACAGTAGAAAGGGAAATATCTTCAAATAAAAACCAGACAGAATCATTCTCAGAAAATTCTTTGTGATGTGTGCGTTCAACTCACATAGTTTAACCTTTCTTTTCATAGAGCAGTTTGGAAACACTCTGTTTGTAAAGTCTGCAAGTGGATATATGGACCGCATTGAGGCCTTCGTTGGAAACGGGATTTCTTCATTTCATGCTAGACAGAAGAATTCTCAGTAACTTCTTTGTGCTGTGTGTATTCAACTCACAGAGTGGAACGTCCCTTTGCACAGAGCAGATTTGAAACACTCTTTTTGTGGAGTTTGCAAGTGGAGATTTCAAGCGATTTGATGCCAACAGTAGAAAAGGAAATATCTTCAAATAAAAACTAGACAGAATCATTCTCAGAAACTACTTTGTGATGTGTGCCTTCAACTCACAGAGTTTAACCTTTCTTTTCTTAGAGCAGTTTAGAAACACTCTGCTTGTTATGTCTGCAAGTGGATATTTGGACCTCTTTGAGGCCTTCGTTGCAAACGGGGTTTCTTCCTTTCATGCTAGACTAAGAAGAGTTCTCAGTAACTTTTTTGTGTTGTGTGTATTCAACTCACAGAGTTGAACCTTGCTTTAGAGAGAGCAGATTTGAAACACTCTTGCTGTGGCATTTTCAGGTGGAGATTTCAAGCGATTTGAGGACAATTGCAGAAAAGGAAATATCTTCGTATAATAACCAGACAGAATCATTCTCAGAAAGTGCTTTGTGATGTGTGCGTTCAACTCACAGAGTTTAATCTTTCTTTTCATAGAGGAGTTTGGAAACACACTGTTTGTAAAGTCTGCAATTGGATATATGGACCTGTTTGAGGCCTTCGTTGGAAACGGGATTTCTTCATTGAATGCTAGACGGAAGAATTCTCAGTAAATTCTTTGTGTTGTGTGCATTCAACTCACAGAGTGGAACGTCCCTTTAGACAGAGCAGATTTGAAACACTCTTTTTGCGGAATTTGCAAGTGGAGATTTCTAGCCATTTGATGCCAACAGTAGAAAGGGAAATATCTTCAAATAAAAACCAGACAGAATCATTCTCAGAAAATTCTTTGTGATGTGTGCGTTCAACTCACATAGTTTAACCTTTCTTTTCATAGAGCAGTTTGGAAACACTCTGTTTGTAAAGTCTGCAAGTGGATATATAGACCGCATTGAGGCCTTCGTTGGAAACGGGATTTCTTCATTTCGTGCTTGACAGAAGAATTCTCAGTAACTTCTTTGTGCTGTGTGTATTCAACTCACAGAGTGGAACGTCCCTTTACACAGAGCAGATTTGAAACACTCTTTTTGTGGAGTTTGCAAGTGGAGATTTCAAGCGATTTGATGCCAACAGTAGAAAAGGAAATATCTTCAAATAAAAACTAGACAGAATCATTCTCAGAAACTACTTTGTGATGTGTGCCTTCAACTCAGAGTTTAACCTTTCTTTTCTTAGAGCAGTTTAGAAACACTCTGCTTGTTATGTCTGCAAGTGGATATTTGGACCTCTTTGAGGCCTTCGTTGCAAACGGGGTTTCTTCCTTTCATGCTAGACTAAGAAGAGTTCTCAGTAACTTTTTTGTGTTGTGTGTATTCAACTCACAGAGTTGAACCTTGCTTTAGAGAGAGCAGATTTGAAACACTCTTGCTGTGGCATTTTCAGGTGGAGATTTCAAGCGATTTGAGGACAATTGCAGAAAAGGAAATATCTTCGTATAATAACCAGACAGAATCATTCTCAGAAAGTGCTTTGTGATGTGTGCGTTCAACTCACAGAGTTTAACCTTTCTTTTCATAGAGGAGTTTGGAAACACACTGTTTGTAAAGTCTGCAATTGGATATATGGACCTGTTTGAGGCCTTCGTTGGAAACGGGATTTCTTCATTGAATGCTAGACGGAAGAATTCTCAGTAAATTCTTTGTGTTGTGTGCATTCAACTCACAGAGTGGAACGTCCCTTTAGACAGAGCAGATTTGAAACACTCTTTTTGCGGAATTTGCAAGTGGAGATTTCTAGCCATTTGATGCCAACAGTAGAAAGGGAAATATCTTCAAATAAAAACCAGACAGAATCATTCTCAGAAAATTCTTTGTGATGTGTGCGTTCAACTCACATAGTTTAACCTTTCTTTTCATAGAGCAGTTTGGAAACACTCTGTTTGTAAAGTCTGCAAGTGGATATATAGACCGCATTGAGGCCTTCGTTGGAAACGGGATTTCTTCATTTCGTGCTAGACAGAAGAATTCTCAGTAACTTCTTTGTGCTGTGTGTATTCAACTCACAGAGTGGAACGTCCCTTTACACAGAGCAGATTTGAAACACTCTTTTTGTGGAGTTTGCAAGTGGAGATTTCAAGCGATTTGATGCCAGCAGTAGAAAAGGAAATATCTTCAAATAAAAACTAGACAGAATCATTCTCAGAAACTACTTTGTGATGTGTGCCTTCAACTCACAGAGTTTAACCTTTCTTTTCTTAGAGCAGTTTAGAAACACTCTGCTTGTTATGTCTGCAAGTGGATATTTGGACCTCTTTGAGGCCTTCGTTGCAAACGGGGTTTCTTCCTTTCATGCTAGACTAAGAAGAGTTCTCAGTAACTTTTTTGTGTTGTGTGTATTCAACTCACAGAGTTGAACCTTGCTTTAGAGAGAGCAGATTTGAAACACTCTTGCTGTGGCATTTTCAGGTGGAGATTTCAAGCGATTTGAGGACAATTGCAGAAAAGGAAATATCTTCGTATAACAACCAGACAGAATAATTCTCAGAAAGTGCTTTGTGATGTGTGCGTTCAACTCACAGAGTTTAACCTTTCTTTTCATAGAGGAGTTTGGAAACACACTGTTTGTAAAGTCTGCAATTGGATATATGGACCTGTTTGAGGCCTTCGTTGGAAACGGGATTTCTTCATTGAATGCTAGACGGAAGAATTCTCAGTAAATACTTTGTGTTGTGTGCATTCAACTCACAGAGTGGAACGTCCCTTTAGACAGAGCAGATTTGAAACACTCTTTTTGCGGAATTTGCAAGTGGAGATTTCTAGCCATTTGATGCCAACAGTAGAAAGGGAAATATCTTCAAATAAAAACCAGACAGAATCATTCTCAGAAAATTCTTTGTGATGTGTGCGTTCAACTCACATAGTTTAACCTTTCTTTTCATAGAGCAGTTTGGAAACACTCTGTTTGTAAAGTCTGCAAGTGGATATATGGACCGCATTGAGGCCTTCGTTGGAAACGGGATTTCTTCATTTCATGCTAGACAGAAGAATTCTCAGTAACTTCTTTGTGCTGTGTGTATTCAACTCACAGAGTTGAACCTTGCTTTAGAGAGAGCAGATTTGAAACACTCTTGCTGTGGCATTTTCAGGTGGAGATTTCAAGCGATTTGAGGAAAATTGCAGAAAAGGGAATATCTTCGTATAATAACCAGACAGAATCATTCTCAGAAAGTGCTTTGTGATGTGTGCGTTCCACTCACAGAGTTTAACCTTTCTTTTCATAGAGGAGTTTGGAAACACACTGTTTGTAAACTCTGCAAGTGGATATATGGACCTGTTTGAGGCCTTCGTTGGAAACGGGATTTCTTCATTGAATGCTAGACGGAAGAATTCTCAGTAAATTCTTTGTGTTGTGTGCATTCAACTCACAGAGTGGAACGTTCCTTTAGACAGAGCAGATTTGAAACACTCTTTTTGCGGAATTTGCAAGTGGAGATTTCTAGCCATTTGATGCCAACAGTAGAAAGAGAAATATCTTCAAATAAAAACCAGACAGAATCATTCTCAGAAAATTCTTTGTGATGTGTGCGTTCAACTCACATAGTTTAACCTTTCTTTTCATAGAGCAGTTTGGAAACACTCTGTTTGTAAAGTCTGCAAGTGGATATATGGACCGCATTGAGGCCTTCGTTGGAAACGGGATTTCTTCATTTCATGCTAGACAGAAGAATTCTCAGTAACTTCTTTGTGCTGTGTGTACTCAACTCACAGAGTGGAACATCCCTTAGCACAGAGCAGATTTGAAACACTCTTTTTGTGGAGTTTGCAAGTGGAGATTTCAAGCGATTTGATGCCAAGAGTAGAAAAGGAAATATCTTCAAATAAAAACTAGACAGAATCATTCTCAGAAACTACTTTGTGATGTGTGCCTTCAACTCACAGAGTTTAACCTTTCTTTTCTTAGAGCAGTTTAGAAACACTCTGCTTGTTATGTCTGCAAGTGGATATTTGGACCTCTTTGAGGCCTTCGTTGCAAACGGGGTTTCTTCCTTTCATGCTAGACTAAGAAGAGTTCTCAGTAACTTTTTTGTGTTGTGTGTATTCAACTCACAGAGTTGAACCTTGCTTTAGAGAGAGCAGATTTGAAACACTCTTGCTGTGGCATTTTCAGGTGGAGATTTCAAGCGATTTGAGGACAATTGCAGAAAAGGAAATATCTTCGTATAATAACCAGACAGAATCATTCTCAGAAAGTGCTTTGTGATGTGTGCGTTCAACTCACAGAGTTTAACCTTTCTTTTCATAGAGGAGTTTGGAAACACACTGTTTGTAAAGTCTGCAATTGGATATATGGACCTGTTTGAGGCCTTCGTTGGAAACGGGATTTCTTCATTGAATGCTAGACGGAAGAATTCTCAGTAAATTCTTTGTGTTGTGTGCATTCAACTGACAGAGTGGAACGTCCCTTTAGACAGAGCAGATTTGAAACACTCTTTTTGCGGAATTTGCAAGTGGAGATTTCTAGCCATTTGATGCCAACAGTAGAAAGGGAAATATCTTCAAATAAAAACCAGACAGAATCATTCTCAGAAAATTCTTTGTGATGTGTGCGTTCAACTCACATAGTTTAACCTTTCTTTTCATAGAGCAGTTTGGAAACACTCTGTTTGTAAAGTCTGCAAGTGGATATATGGACCGCATTGAGGCCTTCGTTGGAAACGGGATTTCTTCATTTCATGCTAGACAGAAGAATTCTCAGTAACTTCTTTGTGCTGTGTGTATTCAACTCACAGAGTGGAACGTCCCTTTGCACAGAGCAGATTTGAAACACTCTTTTTGTGGAGTTTGCAAGTGGAGATTTCAAGCGATTTGATGCCAACAGTAGAAAAGGAAGTATCTTCAAATAAAAACTAGCACAGAATCATTCTCAGAAACTACTTTGTGATGTGTGCCTTCAACTCACAGAGTTTAACCTTTCTTTTCTTAGAGCAGTTTAGAAACACTCTGCTTGTTATGTCTGCAAGTGGATATTTGGACCTCTTTGAGGCCTTCGTTGCAAACGGGGTTTCTTCCTTTCATGCTAGACTAAGAAGAGTTCTCAGTAACTTTTTTGTGTTGTGTGTATTCAACTCACAGAGTTGAACCTTGCTTTAGAGAGAGCAGATTTGAAACACTCTTGCTGTGGCATTTTCAGGTGGAGATTTCAAGCGATTTGAGGACAATTGCAGAAAAGGAAATATCTTCGTATAATAACCAGACAGAATCATTCTCAGAAAGTGCTTTGTGATGTGTGCGTTCAACTCACAGAGTTTAACCTTTCTTTTCATAGAGGAGTTTGGAAACACACTGTTTGTAAAGTCTGCAAGTGGATATATGGACCTGTTTGAGGCCTTCGTTGGAAACGGGATTTCTTCATTGAATGCTAGACGGAAGAATTCTCAGTAAATTCTTTGTGTTGTGTGCATTCAACTCACAGAGTGGAACGTCCCTTTAGACAGAGCAGATTTGAAACACTCTTTTTGCGGAATTTGCAAGTGGAGATTTCTAGCCATTTGATGCCAACAGTAGAAAGGGAAATATCTTCAAATAAAAACCAGACAGAATCATTCTCAGAAAATTCTTTGTGATGGGTGCGTTCAACTCACATAGTTTAACCTTTCTTTTCATAGAGCAGTTTGGAAACACTCTGTTTGTAAAGTCTGCAAGTGGATATATGGACCGCATTGAGGCCTTCGTTGGAAACGGGATTTCTTCATTTCATGCTAGACAGAAGAATTCTCAGTAACTTCTTTGTGCTGTGTGTATTCAACTCACAGAGTGGAACATCCCTTTGCACAGAGCAGATTTGAAACACTCTTTTTCTGGAGTTTGCAAGTGGAGATTTCAAGCGATTTGATGCCAACAGTAGAAAAGGAAATATCTTCAAATAAAAACTAGACAGAATCATTCTCAGAAACTACTTTGTGATGTGTGCCTTCAACTCACAGAGTTTAACCTTTCTTTTCTTAGAGCAGTTTAGAAACACTCTGCTTGTTATGTCTGCAAGTGGATATTTGGACCTCTTTGAGGCCTTCGTTGCAAACGGGGTTTCTTCCTTTCATGCTAGACTAAGAAGAGTTCTCAGTAACTTTTTTGTGTTGTGTGTATTCAACTCACAGAGTTGAACCTTGCTTTAGAGAGAGCAGATTTGAAACACTCTTGCTGTGGCATTTTCAGGTGGAGATTTCAAGCGATTTGAGGACAATTGCAGAAAAGGAAATATCTTCGTATAATAACCAGACAGAATCATTCTCAGAAAGTGCTTTGTGATGTGTGCGTTCAACTCACAGAGTTTAACCTTTCTTTTCATAGAGGAGTTTGGAAACACACTGTTTGTAAAGTCTGCAAGTGGATATATGGACCTGTTTGAGGCCTTCGTTGGAAACGGGATTTCTTCATTGAATGCTAGACGGAAGAATTCTCAGTAAATTCTTTGTGTTGTGTGCATTCAACTGACAGAGTGGAACGTCCCTTTAGACAGAGCAGATTTGAAACACTCTTTTTGCGGAATTTGCAAGTGGAGATTTCTAGCCATTTGATGCCAACAGTAGAAAGAGAAATATCTTCAAATAAAAACCAGACAGAATCATTCTCAGAAAATTCTTTGTGATGTGTGCGTTCAGCTCACATAGTTTAACCTTTCTTTTCATAGAGCAGTTTGGAAACACTCTGTTTGTAAAGTCTGCAAGTGGATATATGGACCGCATTGAGGCCTTCGTTGGAAACGGGATTTCTTCATTTCATGCTAGACAGAAGAATTCTCAGTAACTTCTTTATGCTGTGTGTATTCAACTCACAGAGTGGAACGTCCCTTTACACAGAGCAGATTTGAAACACTCTTTTTGTGGAGTTTGCAAGTGGAGATTTCAAGCGATTTTATGCCAACAGTAGAAAAGGAAATATCTTCAAATAAAAACTAGACAGAATCATTCTCAGAAACTACTTTGTGATGTGTGCCTTCAACTCACAGAGTTTAACCTTTCTTTTCTTAGAGCAGCTTAGAAACACTCTGCTTGTTATGTCTGCAAGTGGATATTTGGACCTCTTTGAGGCCTTCGTTGCAAACGGGGTTTCTTCCTTTAATGCTAGACTAAGAAGAGTTCTCAGTAACTTTTTTGTGTTGTGTGTATTCAACTCACAGAGTTGAACCTTGCTTTAGAGAGAGCAGATTTGAAACACTCTTGCTGTGGCATTTTCAGGTGGAGATTTCAAGCGATTTGAGGACAATTGCAGAAAAGGAAATATCTTCGTATAATAACCAGACAGAATCATTCTCAGAAAGTGCTTTGTGATGTGTGCGTTCAACTCACAGAGTTTAACCTTTCTTTTCATAGAGGAGTTTGGAAACACACTGTTTGTAAAGTCTGCAAGTGGATATATGGACCTGTTTGAGGCCTTCGTTGGAAACGGGATTTCTTCATTGAATGCTAGACGGAAGAATTCTCAGTAAATTCTTTGTGTTGTGTGCATTCAACTCACAGAGTGGAACGTCCCTTTAGACAGAGCAGATTTGAAACACTCTTTTTGCGGAATTTGCAAGTGGAGATTTCTAGCCATTTGATGCCAACAGTAGAAAGGGAAATATCTTCAAATAAAAACCAGACAGAATCATTCTCAGAAAATTCTTTGTGATGTGTGCGTTCAACTCACATAGTTTAACCTTTCTTTTCATAGAGCAGTTTGGAAACACTCTGTTTGTAAAGTCTGCAAGTGGATATATGGACCGCATTGAGGCCTTCGTTGGAAACGGGATTTCTTCATTTCATGCTAGACAGAAGAATTCTCAGTAACTTCTTTGTGCTGTGTGTATTCAACTCACAGAGTGGAACGTCCCTTTGCACAGAGCAGATTTGAAACACTCTTTTTTGGTGGAGTTTGCAAGTGGAGATTTCAAGCGATTTGATGCCAACAGTAGAAAAGGAAATATCTTCAAATAAAAACTAGACAGAATCATTCTCAGAAACTACTTTGTGATGTGTGCCTTCAACTCACAGAGTTTAACCTTTCTTTTCTTAGAGCAGTTTAGAAACACTCTGCTTGTTATGTCTGCAAGTGGATATTTGGACCTCTTTGAGGCCTTCGTTGCAAACGGGGTTTCTTCCTTTCATGCTAGACTAAGAAGAGTTCTCAGTAACTTTTTTGTGTTGTGTGTATTCAACTCACAGAGTTGAACCTTGCTTTAGAGAGAGCAGATTTGAAACACTCTTGCTGTGGCATTTTCAGGTGGAGATTTCAAGCGATTTGAGGACAATTGCAGAAAAGGAAATATCTTCGTATAATAACCAGACAGAATCATTCTCAGAAAGTGCTTTGTGATGTGTGCGTTCCACTCACAGAGTTTAACCTTTCTTTTCATAGAGGAGTTTGGAAACACACTGTTTGTAAAGTCTGCAAGTGGATATATGGACCTGTTTGAGGCCTTCGTTGGAAACGGGATTTCTTCATTGAATGCTAGACGGAAGAATTCTCAGTAAATTCTTTGTGTTGTGTGCATTCAACTCACAGAGTGGAACGTCCCTTTAGACAGAGCAGATTTGAAACACTCTTTTTGCGGAATTTGCAAGTGGAGATTTCTAGCCATTTGATGCCAACAGTAGAAAGGGAAATATCTTCAAATAAAAACCAGACAGAATCATTCTCAGAAAATTCTTTGTGATGTGTGCGTTCAACTCACATAGTTTAACCTTTCTTTTCATAGAGCAGTTTGGAAACACTCTGTTTGTAAAGTCTGCAAGTGGATATATGGACCGCATTGAGGCCTTCGTTGGAAACGGGATTTCTTCATTTCATGCTAGACAGAAGAATTCTCAGTAACTTCTTTGTGCTGTGTGTATTCAACTCACAGAGTGGAACGTCCCTTTGCACAGAGCAGATTTGAAACACTCTTTTTGTGGAGTTTGCAAGTGGAGATTTCAAGCGATTTGATGCCAACAGTAGAAAAGGAAATATCTTCAAATAAAAACTAGACAGAATCATTCTCAGAAACTACTTTGTGATGTGTGCATTTAACTCACAGAGTTTAACCTTTCTTTTCTTAGAGCAGTTTAGAAACACTCTGCTTGATATGTCTGCAAGTGGATATTTGGACCTCTTTGAGGCCTTCGTTGCAAACGGGGTTTCTTCCTTTAATGCTAGACTAAGAAGAGTTCTCAGTAACTTTTTTGTGTTGTGTGTATTCAACTCACAGAGTTGAACCTTGCTTTAGAGAGAGCAGATTTGAAACACTCTTGCTGTGGCATTTTCAGGTGGAGATTTCAAGCGATTTGAGGACAATTGCAGAAAAGGAAATATCTTCGTATAATAACCAGACAGAATCATTCTCAGAAAGTGCTTTGTGATGTGTGCGTTCCACTCACAGAGTTTAACCTTTCTTTTCATAGAGGAGTTTGGAAACACACTGTTTGTAAACTCTGCAAGTGGATATATGGACCTGTTTGAGGCCTTCGTTGGAAACGGGATTTCTTCATTGAATGCTAGACGGAAGAATTCTCAGTAAATTCTTTGTGTTGTGTGCATTCAACTCACAGAGTGGAACGTCCCTTTAGACAGAGCAGATTTGAAACACTCTTTTTGCGGAATTTGCAAGTGGAGATTTCTAGCCATTTGATGCCAACAGTAGAAAGGGAAATATCTTCAAATAAAAACCAGACAGAATCATTCTCAGAAAATTCTTTGTGATGTGTGCGTTCAACTCACATAGTTTAACCTTTCTTTTCATAGAGCAGTTTGGAAACACTCTGTTTGTAAAGTCTGCAAGTGGATATATGGACCGCATTGAGGCCTTCGTTGGAAACGGGATTTCTTCATTTCATGCTAGACAGAAGAATTCTCAGTAACTTCTTTGTGCTGTGTGTATTCAACTCACAGAGTGGAACGTCCCTTTACACAGAGCAGATTTGAAACACTCTTTTTGTGGAGTTTGCAAGTGGAGATTTCAAGCGATTTGATGCCAACAGTAGAAAAGGAAATATCTTCAAATAAAAACTAGACAGAATCATTCTCAGAAACTACTTTGTGATGTGTGCCTTCAACTCACAGAGTTTAACCTTTCTTTTCTTAGAGCAGTTTAGAAACACTCTGCTTGTTATGTCTGCAAGTGGATATTTGGACCTCTTTGAGGCCTTCGTTGCAAACGGGGTTTCTTCCTTTCATGCTAGACTAAGAAGAGTTCTCAGTAACTTTTTTGTGTTGTGTGTATTCAACTCACAGAGTTGAACCTTGCTTTAGAGAGAGCAGATTTGAAACACTCTTGCTGTGGCATTTTCAGGTGGAGATTTCAAGCGATTTGAGGACAATTGCAGAAAAGGAAATATCTTCGTATAACAACCAGACAGAATCATTCTCAGAAAGTGCTTTGTGATGTGTGCGTTCAACTCACAGAGTTTAACCTTTCTTTTCATAGAGGAGTTTGGAAACACACTGTTTGTAAAGTCTGCAATTGGATATATGCACCTGTTTGAGGCCTTCGTTGGAAACAGGATTTCTTCATTGAATGCTAGACGGAAGAATTCTCAGTAAATTCTTTGTGTTGTGTGCATTCAACTCACAGAGTGGAACGTCCCTTTAGACAGAGCAGATTTGAAACACTCTTTTTGCGGAATTTGCAAGTGGAGATTTCTAGCCATTTGATGCCAACAGTAGAAAGGGAAATATCTTCAAATAAAAACCAGACAGAATCATTCTCAGAAAATTCTTTGTGATGTGTGCGTTCAACTCACATAGTTTAACCTTTCTTTTCATAGAGCAGTTTGGAAACACTCTGTTTGTAAAGTCTGCAAGTGGATATATGGACCGCATTGAGGCCTTCGTTGGAAACGGGATTTCTTCATTTCATGCTAGACAGAAGAATTCTCAGTAACTTCTTTGTGCTGTGTGTATTCAACTCACAGAGTGGAACGTCCCTTTGCACAGAGCAGATTTGAAACACTCTTTTTGTGGAATTTGCAAGTGGAGATTTCAAGCGATTTGATGCCAACAGTAGAAAAGGAAATATCTTCAAATAAAAACTAGACAGAATCATTCTCAGAAACTACTTTGTGATGTGTGCCTTCAACTCACAGAGTTTAACCTTTCTTTTCTTAGAGCAGTTTAGAAACACTCTGCTTGTTATGTCTGCAAGTGGATATTTGGACCTCTTTGAGGCCTTCGTTGCAAACGGGGTTTCTTCCTTTCATGCTAGACTAAGAAGAGTTCTCAGTAACTTTTTTGTGTTGTGTGTATTCAACTCACAGAGTTGAACCTTGCTTTAGAGAGAGCAGATTTGAAACACTCTTGCTGTGGCATTTTCAGGTGGAGATTTCAAGCCATTTGAGGACAATTGCAGAAAAGGAAATATCTTCGTATAATAACCAGACAGAATCATTCTCAGAAAGTGCTTTGTGATGTGTGCGTTCAACTCACAGAGTTTAACCTTTCTTTTCATAGAGGAGTTTGGAAACACACTGTTTGTAACGTCTGCAAGTGGATATATGGACCTGTTTGAGGCCTTCGTTGGAAACGGGATTTCTTCATTGAATGCTAGACGGAAGAATTCTCAGTAAATTCTTTGTGTTGTGTGCATTCAACTCACACAGTGGAACGTCCCTTTAGACAGAGCAGATTTGAAACACTCTTTTTGCGGAAGTTGCAAGTGGAGATTTCTAGCCATTTGATGCCAACAGTAGAAAGGGAAATATCTTCAAATAAAAACTAGACAGAATCATTCTCAGAAAGTGCTTTGTGATGTGTGCGTTCAACTCACAGAGTTTAACCTTTCTTTTCATAGAGGAGTTTGGAAACACACTGTTTGTAAAGTCTGCAATTGGATATATGGACCTCTTTGAGGCCTTCGTTGGAAACGGGATTTCTTCATTGAATGCTAGACGGAAGAATTCTCAGTAAATTCTTTGTGTTGTGTGCATTCAACTGACAGAGTGGAACGTCCCTTAAGACAGAGCAGATTTGAAACACTCTTTTTGCGGAATTTGCAAGTGGAGATTTCTAGCCATTTGATGCCAACAGTAGAAAGGGAAACATCTTCAAATAAAAACCAGAGAGAATCATTCTCAGAAAATTCTTTGTGATGTGTGCGTTCAACTCACATAGTTTAACCTTTCTTTTCATAGAGCAGTTTGGAAACACT
Source organism: Homo sapiens (assembly GCF_000001405.40). Classification (NCBI taxonomy): domain Eukaryota; kingdom Metazoa; phylum Chordata; class Mammalia; order Primates; family Hominidae; genus Homo; species Homo sapiens. Next base: position 59,379,338 of record NC_000007.14, read on the forward strand.
CTGTTTGTAAAGTCTGCAAGTGGATATATGGACCGCATTGAGGCCTTCGTTGGAAACGGGATTTCTTCATTTCATGCTAGACAGAAGAATTCTCAGTAACTTCTTTGTGCTGTGTGTATTCAACTCACAGAGTGGAACGTCCCTTTACACAGAGCAGATTTGAAACACTCTTTTTGTGGAGTTTGCAAGTGGAGATTTCAAGCGATTTGATGCCAACAGTAGAAAAGGAAATATCTTCAAATAAAAACTAGACAGAATCATTCTCAGAAACTACTTTGTGATGTGTGCCTTCAACTCACAGAGTTTAACCTTTCTTTTCTTAGAGCAGTTTAGAAACACTCTGCTTGTTATGTCTGCAAGTGGATATTTGGACCTCTTTGAGGCCTTCGTTGCAAACGGGGTTTCTTCCTTTCATGCTAGACTAAGAAGAGTTCTCAGTAACTTTTTTGTGTTGTGTGTATTCAACTCACAGAGTTGAACCTTGCTTTAGAGAGAGCAGATTTGAAACACTCTTGCTGTGGCATTTTCAGGTGGAGATTTCAAGCGATTTGAGGACAATTGCAGAAAAGGAAATATCTTCGTATAATAACCAGACAGAATCATTCTCAGAAAGTGCTTTGTGATGTGTGCGTTCAACTCACAGAGTTTAACCTTTCTTTTCATAGAGGAGTTTGGAAACACACTGTTTGTAAAGTCTGCAAGTGGATATATGGACCTGTTTGAGGCCTTCGTTGGAAACGGGATTTCTTCATTGAATGCTAGACGGAAGAATTCTCAGTAAATTCTTTGTGTTGTGTGCATTCAACTCACAGAGTGGAACGGTCCCTTTAGACAGAGCAGATTTGAAACACTCTTTTTGCGGAATTTGCAAGTGGAGATTTCTAGCCATTTGATGCCAACAGTAGAAAGGGAAATATCTTCAAATAAAAACCAGACAGAATCATTCTCAGAAAATTCTTTGTGATGTGTGCGTTCAACTCACATAGTTTAACCTTTCTTTTCATAGAGCAGTTTGGAAACACTCTGTTTGTAAAGTCTGCAAGTGGATATATGGACCGCATTGAGGCCTTCGTTGGAAACGGGATTTCTTCATTTCATGCTAGACAGAAGAATTCTCAGTAACTTCTTTGTGCTGTGTGTATTCAACTCACAGAGTGGAACGTCCCTTTACACAGAGCAGATTTGAAACACTCTTTTTGTGGAGTTTGCAAGTGGAGATTTCAAGCGATTTGATGCCAACAGTAGAAAAGGAAATATCTTCAAATAAAAACTAGACAGAATCATTCTCAGAAACTGCTTTGTGATGTGTGCCTTCAACTCACAGAGTTTAACCTTTCTTTTCTTAGAGCAGTTTAGAAACACTCTGCTTGTTATGTCTGCAAGTGGATATTTGGACCTCTTTGAGGCCTTCGTTGCAAACGGGGTTTCTTCCTTTCATGCTAGACTAAGAAGAGTTCTCAGTAACTTTTTTGTGTTGTGTGTATTCAACTCACAGAGTTGAACCTTGCTTTAGAGAGAGCAGATTTGAAACACTCTTGCTGTGGCATTTTCAGGTGGAGATTTCAAGCGATTTGAGGACAATTGCAGAAAAGGAAATATCTTCGTATAACAACCAGACAGAATCATTCTCAGAAAGTGCTTTGTGATGTGTGGGTTCAACTCACAGAGTTTAACCTTTCTTTTCATAGAGGAGTTTGGAAACACACTGTTTGTAAAGTCTGCAATTGGATATATGGACCTGTTTGAGGCCTTCGTTGGAAACGGGGTTTCTTCATTGACTGCTAGACAGAAGAATTCTCAGTAAATTCTTTGTGTTGTGTGCATTCAACTCACAGAGTGGAACGTCCCTTTAGACAGAGCAGATTTGAAACACTCTTTTTGCGGAATTTGCAAGTGGAGATTTCTAGCCATTTGATGCCAACAGTAGAAAGGGAAATATCTTCAAATAAAAACCAGACAGAATCATTCTCAGAAAATTCTTTGTGATGTGTGCGTTCAACTCACATAGTTTAACCTTTCTTTTCATAGAGCAGTTTGGAAACACTCTGTTTGTAAAGTCTGCAAGTGGATATATGGACCGCATTGAGGCCTTCGTTGGAAACGGGATTTCTTCATTTCATGCTAGACAGAAGAATTCTCAGTAACTTCTTTGTGCTGTGTGTATTCAACTCACAGAGTGGAACGTCCCTTTACACAGAGCAGATTTGAAACACTCTTTTTGTGGAGTTTGCAAGCGGAGATTTCAAGCGATTTGATGCCAACAGTAGAAAAGGAAATATCTTCAAATAAAAACTAGACAGAATCATTCTCAGAAACTACTTTGTGATGTGTGCCTTCAACTCACAGAGTTTAACCTTTCTTTTCTTAGAGCAGTTTAGAAACACTCTGCTTGTTATGTCTGCAAGTGGATATTTGGACCTCTTTGAGGCCTTCGTTGCAAACGGGGTTTCTTCCTTTAATGCTAGACTAAGAAGAGTTCTCAGTAACTTTTTTGTGTTGTGTGTATTCAACTCACAGAGTTGAACCTTGCTTTAGAGAGAGCAGATTTGAAACACTCTTGCTGTGGCATTTTCAGGTGGAGATTTCAAGCGTTTTGAGGACAATTGCAGAAAAGGAAATATCTTCGTATAATAACCAGACAGAATCATTCTCAGAAAGTGCTTTGTGATGTGTGCGTTCCACTCACAGAGTTTAACCTTTCTTTTCATAGAGGAGTTTGGAAACACACTGTTTGTAAACTCTGCAAGTGGATATATGGACCTGTTTGAGGCCTTCGTTGGAAACGGGATTTCTTCATTGAATGCTAGACGGAAGAATTCTCAGTAAATTCTTTGTGTTGTGTGCATTCAACTCACAGAGTGGAACGTCCCTTTAGACAGAGCAGATTTGAAACACTCTTTTTGCGGAATTTGCAAGTGGAGATTTCTAGCCATTTGATGCCAACAGTAGAAAGGGAAATATCTTCAAATAAAAACCAGACAGAATCATTCTCAGAAAATTCTTTGTGATGTGTGCGTTCAATTCACATAGTTTAACCTTTCTTTTCATAGAGCAGTTTGGAAACACTCTGTTTGTAAAGTCTGCAAGTGGATATATGGACCGCATTGAGGCCTTCTTTGGAAACGGGATTTCTTCATTTCATGCTAGACAGAAGAATTCTCAGTAACTTCTTTGTGCTGTGTGTATTCAACTCACAGTGTGCAACGTCCCTTTACACAGAGCAGATTTGAAACACTCTTTTTGTGGAGTTTGCAAGTGGAGATTTCAAGCGATTTTATGCCAACAGTAGAAAAGGAAATATCTTCAAATAAAAACTAGACAGAATCATTCTCAGAAACTACTTTGTGATGTGTGCCTTCAACTCACAGAGTTTAACCTTTCTTTTCTTAGAGCAGTTTAGAAACACTCTGCTTGTTATGTCTGCAAGTGGATATTTGGACCTCTTTGAGGCCTTCGTTGCAAACGGGGTTTCTTCCTTTCATGCTAGACTAAGAAGAGTTCTCAGTAACTTTTCTGTGTTGTGTGTATTCAACTCACAGAGTTGAACCTTGCTTTAGAGAGAGCAGATTTGAAACACTCTTGCTGTGGCATTTTCAGGTGGAGATTTCAAGCGTTTTGAGGACAATTGCAGAAAAGGAAATATCTTCGTATAATAACCAGACAGAATCATTCTCAGAAAGTGCTTTGTGATGTGTGCGTTCCACTCACAGAGTTTAACCTTTCTTTTCATAGAGGAGTTTGGAAACACACTGTTTGTAAACTCTGCAAGTGGATATATGGACCTGTTTGAGGCCTTCGTTGGAAACGGGATTTCTTCATTGAATGCTAGACGGAAGAATTCTCAGTAAATTCTTTGTGTTGTGTGCATTCAACTCACAGAGTGGAACGTCCCTTTAGACAGAGCAGATTTGAAACACTCTTTTTGCGGAATTTGCAAGTGGAGATTTCTAGCCATTTGATGCCAACAGTAGAAAGGGAAATATCTTCAAATAAAAACCAGACAGAATCATTCTCAGAAAATTCTTTGTGATGTGTGCGTTCAACTCACATAGTTTAACCTTTCTTTTCATAGAGCAGTTTGGAAACACTCTGTTTGTAAAGTCTGCAAGTGGATATATGGACCGCATTGAGGCCTTCGTTGGAAACGGGATTTCTTCATTTCATGCTAGACAGAAGAATTCTCAGTAACTTCTTTGTGCTGTGTGTATTCAACTGACAGAGTGGAACGTCCCTTTGCACAGAGCAGATTTGAAACACTCTTTTTGTGGAGTTTGCAAGTGGAGATTTCAAGCAATTTGATGCCAACAGTAGAAAAGGAAATATCTTCAAATAAAAACTAGACAGAATCATTCTCAGAAACTACTTTGTGATGTGTGCCTTCAACTCACAGAGTTTAACCTTTCTTTTCTTAGAGCAGTTTAGAAACACTCTGCTTGTTATGTCTGCAAGTGGATATTTGGACCTCTTTGAGGCCTTCGTTGCAAACGGGGTTTCTTCCTTTCATGCTAGACTAAGAAGAGTTCTCAGTAACTTTTTTGTGTTGTGTGTATTCAACTCACAGAGTTGAACCTTGCTTTAGAGAGAGCAGATTTGAAACACTCTCGCTGTGGAATTTTCAGGTGGAGATTTCAAGCGATTTGAGGACAATTGCAGAAAAGGAAATATCTTCGTATAATAACCAGACAGAATCATTCTCAGAAAGTGCTTTGTGATGTGTGCGTTCAACTCACAGAGTTTAACCTTTCTTTTCATAGAGGAGTTTGGAAACACACTGTTTGTAAAGTCTGCAATTGGATATATGGACCTGTTTGAGGCCTTCGTTGGAAACGGGATTTCATCATTGAATGCTAGACGGAAGGATTCTCAGTAAATTCTTTGTGTTGTGTGCATTCAACTCACAGAGTGGAACGTCCCTTTAGACAGAGCAGATTTGAAACACTCTTTTTGCGGAATTTGCAAGTGGAGATTTCTAGCCATTTGATGCCAACAGTAGAAAGGGAAATATCTTCAAATAAAAACCAGACAGAATCATTCTCAGAAAATTCTTTGTGATGTGTGCGTTCAACTCACATAGTTTAACCTTTCTTTTCATAGAGCAGTTTGGAAACACTCTGTTTGTAAAGTCTGCAAGTGGATATATGGACCGCATTGAGGCCTTCGTTGGAAACGGGATTTCTTCATTTCATGCTAGACAGAAGAATTCTCAGTAACTTCTTTGTGCTGTGTGTATTCAACTCACAGAGTGGAACGTCCCTTTACACAGAGCAGATTTGAAACACTCTTTTTGTGGAGTTTGCAAGTGGAGATTTCAAGCGATTTGATGCCAACAGTAGAAAAGGAAATATCTTCAAATAAAAACTAGACAGAATCATTCTCAGAAACTACTTTGTGATGTGTGCCTTCAACTCACAGAGTTTAACCTTTCTTTTCTTAGAGCAGTTTAGAAACACTCTGCTTGTTATGTCTGCAAGTGGATATTTGGACCTCTTTGAGGCCTTCGTTGCAAACGGGATTTCTTAATTTCATGCTAGACTAAGAAGAGTTCTCAGTAACTTTTTTGTGTTGTGTGTATTCAACTCACAGAGTTGAACCTTGCTTTAGAGAGAGCAGATTTGAAACACTCTTGCTGTGGCATTTTCAGGTGGAGATTTCAAGCGTTTTGAGGACAATTGCAGAAAAGGAAATATCTTCGTATAATAACCAGACAGAATCATTCTCAGAAAGTGCTTTGTGATGTGTGCGTTCCACTCACAGAGTTTAACCTTTCTTTTCATAGAGGAGTTTGGAAACACACTGTTTGTAAAGTCTGCAAGTGGATATATGGACCTGTTTGAGGCCTTCGTTGGAAACGGGATTTCTTCATTGAATGCTAGACGGAAGAATTCTCAGTAAATTCTTTGTGTTGTGTGCATTCAACTCACAGAGTGGAACGTCCCTTTAGACAGAGCAGATTTGAAACACTCTTTTTGCGGAATTTGCAAGTGGAGATTTCTAGCCATTTGATGCCAACAGTAGAAAGGGAAATATCTTCAAATAAAAACCAGACAGAATCATTCTCAGAAAATTCTTTGTGATGTGTGCGTTCAACTCACATAGTTTAACCTTTCTTTTCATAGAGCAGTTTGGAAACACTCTGTTTGTAAAGTCTGCAAGTGGATATATGGACCGCATTGAGGCCTTCGTTGGAAACGGGATTTCTTCATTTCATGCTAGACAGAAGAATTCTCAGTAACTTCTTTGTGCTGTGTGTATTCAACTCACAGAGTGGAACGTCCCTTTACACAGAGCAGATTTGAAACACTCTTTTTGTGGAGTTTGCAAGTGGAGATTTCAAGCGATTTGATGCCAACAGTAGAAAAGGAAATATCTTCAAATAAAAACTAGACAGAATCATTCTCAGAAACTACTTTGTGATGTGTGCCTTCAACTCACAGAGTTTAACCTTTCTTTTCTTAGAGCAGTTTAGAAACACTCTGCTTGTTATGTCTGCAAGTGGATATTTGGACCTCTTTGAGGCCTTCGTTGCAAACGGGGTTTCTTCCTTTCATGCTAGACTAAGAAGAGTTCTCAGTAACTTTTTTGTGTTGTGTGTATTCAACTCACAGAGTTGAACCTTGCTTTAGAGAGAGCAGATTTGAAACACTCTTGCTGTGGCATTTTCAGGTGGAGATTTCAAGCGTTTTGAGGACAATTGCAGAAAAGGAAATATCTTCGTATAATAACCAGACAGAATCATTCTCAGAAAGTGCTTTGTGATGTGTGCGTTCCACTCACAGAGTTTAACCTTTCTTTTCATAGAGGAGTTTGGAAACACACTGTTTGTAAAGTCTGCAAGTGGATATATGGACCTCTTTGAGGCCTTCGTTGGAAACGGGATTTCTTCATTGAATGCTAGACGGAAGAATTCTCAGTAAATTCTTTGTGTTGTGTGCATTCAACTCACAGAGTGGAACGTCCCTTTAGACAGAGCAGATTTGAAACACTCTTTTTGCGGAATTTGCAAGTGGAGATTTCTAGCCATTTGATGCCAACAGTAGAAAGGGAAATATCTTCAAATAAAAACCAGACAGAATCATTCTCAGAAAATTCTTTGTGATGTGTGCGTTCAAATCACATAGTTTAACCTTTCTTTTCATAGAGCAGTTTGGAAACACTCTGTTTGTAAAGTCTGCAAGTGGATATATGGACCGCTTTGAGGCCTTCGTTGGAAACGGGATTTCTCCATTTCATGCTAGACAGAAGAATTCTCAGTAACTTCTTTGTGCTGTGTGTATTCAACTCACAGAGTGGAACGTCCCTTTGCACAGAGCAGATTTGAAACACTCTTTTTGTGGAGTTTGCAAGTGGAGATTTCAAGCGATTTGATGCCAACAGTAGAAAAGGAAATATCTTCAAATAAAAACTAGACAGAATCATTCTCAGAAACTACTTTGTGATGTGTGCCTTCAACTCACAGAGTTTAACCTTTCTTTTCTTAGAGCAGTTTAGAAACACTCTGCTTGTTATGTCTGCAAGTGGATATTTGGACCTCTTTGAGGCCTTCGTTGCAAACGGGGTTTCTTCCTTTAATGCTAGACTAAGAAGAGTTCTCAGTAACTTTTTTGTGTTGTGTGTATTCAACTCACAGAGTTGAACCTTGCTTTAGAGAGAGCAGATTTGAAACACTCTTGCTGTGGCATTTTCAGGTGGAGATTTCAAGCGATTTGAGGACAATTGCAGAAAAGGAAATATCTTCGTATAATAACCAGACAGAATCATTCTCAGAAAGTGCTTTGTGATGTGTGCGTTCCACTCACAGAGTTTAACCTTTCTTTTCATAGAGGAGTTTGGAAACACACTGTTTGTAAAGTCTGCAAGTGGATATATGGACCTCTTTGAGGCCTTCGTTGGAAACGGGATTTCTTCATTGAATGCTAGACGGAAGAATTCTCAGTAAATTCTTTGTGTTGTGTGCATTCAACTCACAGAGTGGAACGTCCCTTTAGACAGAGCAGATTTGAAACACTCTTTTTGCGGAATTTGCAAGTGGAGATTTCTAGCCATTTGATGCCAACAGTAGAAAGGGAAATATCTTCAAATAAAAACCAGACAGAATCATTCTCAGAAAATTCTTTGTGATGTGTGCGTTCAACTCACATAATTTAACCTTTCTTTTCATAGAGCAGTTTGGAAACACTCTGTTTGTAAAGTCTGCAAGTGGATATATGGACCGCATTGAGGCCTTCGTTGGAAACGGGATTTCTTCATTTCATGCTAGACAGAAGAATTCTCAGTAACTTCTTTGTGCTGTGTGTATTCAACTCACAGAGTGGAACGTCCCTTTGCACAGAGCAGATTTGAAACACTCTTTTTGTGCAATTTGCAAGTGGAGATTTCAAGCGATTTGATGCCAACAGTAGAAAAGGAAATATCTTCAAATAAAAACTAGACAGAATCATTCTCAGAAACTACTTTGTGATGTGTGCCTTCAACTCACAGAGTTTAACCTTTCTTTTCTTAGAGCAGTTTAGAAACACTCTGCTTGTTATGTCTGCAAGTGGATATTTGGACCTCTTTGAGGCCTTCGTTGCAAACGGGGTTTCTTCCTTTAATGCTAGACTAAGAAGAGTTCTCAGCAACTTTTTTGTGTTGTGTGTATTCAACTCAAAGAGTTGAACCTTGCTTTAGAGAGAGCAGATTTGAAACACTCTTGCTGTGGAATTTTCAGGTGGAGATTTCAAGCGATTTGAGGACAATTGCAGAAAAAGAAATATCTTCGTATAATAACCAGACAGAATCATTCTCAGCAAAGTGCTTTGTGATGTGTGCGTTCCACTCACAGAGTTTAACCTTTCTTTTCATAGAGGAGTTTGGAAACACACTGTTTGTAAACTCTGCAAGTGGATATATGGACCTGTTTGAGGCCTTCGTTGGAAACGGGATTTCTTCATTGAATGCTAGACGGAAGAATTCTCAGTAAATTCTTTGTGTTGTGTGCATTCAACTCACAGAGTGGAACGTCCCTTTAGACAGAGCAGATTTGAAACACTCTTTTTGCGGAATTTGCAAGTGGAGATTTCTAGCCATTTGATGCCAACAGTAGAAAGGGAAATATCTTCAAATAAAAACCAGACAGAATCATTCTCAGAAAATTCTTTGTGATGTGTGCGTTCAACTCACATAGTTTAACCTTTCTTTTCATAGAGCAGTTTGGAAACACTCTGTTTGTAAAGTCTGCAAGTGGATATATGGACCGCATTGAGGCCTTCGTTGGAAACGGGATTTCTTCATTTCATGCTAGACAGAAGAATTCTCAGTAACTTCTTTGTGCTGTGTGTATTCAACTCACAGAGTGGAACGTCCCTTTACACAGAGCAGATTTGAAACACTCTTTTTGTGGAGTTTGCAAGTGGAGATTTCAAGCGATCTGATGCCAACAGTAGAAAAGGAAATATCTTCAAATAAAAACTAGACAGAATCATTCTCAGAAACTACTTTGTGATGTGTGCCTTCAACTCACAGAGTTTAACCTTTCTTTTCTTAGAGCACTTTAGAAACACTCTGCTTGTTATGTCTGCAAGTGGATATTTGGACCTCTTTGAGGCCTTCGTTGCAAACGGGGTTTCTTCCTTTCATGCTAGACTAAGAAGAGTTCTCAGTAACTTTTTTGTGTTGTGTGTATTCAACTCACAGAGTTGAACCTTGCTTTAGAGAGAGCAGATTTGAAACACTCTTGCTGTGGCATTTTCAGGTGGAGATTTCAAGCGATTTGAGGACAATTGCAGAAAAGGAAATATCTTCGTATAATAACCAGACAGAATCATTCTCAGAAAGTGCTTTGTGATGTGTGCGTTCCACTCACAGAGTTTAACCTTTCTTTTCATAGAGGAGTTTGGAAACACACTGTTTGTAAAGTCTGCAAGTGGATATATGGACCTGTTTGAGGCCTTCGTTGGAAACGGGATTTCTTCATTGAATGCTAGACGGAAGAATTCTCAGTAAATTCTTTGTGTTGTGTGCATTCAACTCACAGAGTGGAACGTCCCTTTAGACAGAGCAGATTTGAAACACTCTTTTTGCGGAATTTGCAAGTGGAGATTTCTAGCCATTTGATGCCAACAGTAGAAAGGGAAATATCTTCAAATAAAAACCAGACAGAATCATTCTCAGAAAATTCTTTGTGATGTGTGCCTTCAACTCACAGAGTTTAACCTTTCTTTTCTTAGAGGAGTTTAGAAACACTCTGCTTGTTATGTCTGCAAGTGGATATTTGGACCTCTTTGAGGCCTTCGTTGCAAACGGGGTTTTTTCCTTTAATGCTAGACTAAGAAGAGTTCTCAGTAACTTTTTTGTGTTGTGTGTATTCAACTCACAGAGTTGAACCTTGCTTTAGAGAGAGCAGATTTGAAACACTCTTGCTGTGGCATTTTCAGGTGGAGATTTCAAGCGATTTGAGGACAATTGCAGAAAAGGAAATATCTTCGTATAATAACCAGACAGAAATCATTCTCAGCAAAGTGCTTTGTGATGTGTGCGTTCAACTCACAGAGTTTAACCTTTCTTTTCATAGAGGAGTTTGGAAACACACTGTTTGTAAAGTCTGCAATTGGATATATGGACCTGTTTGAGGCCTTCGTTTGAAACGGGATTTCTTCATTGAATGCTAGACGGAAGAATTCTCAGTAAATTCTTTGTGTTGTGTGCATTCAACTGACAGAGTGGAACGTCCCTTTAGACAGAGCAGATTTGAAACACTCTTTTTGCGGAATTTGCAAGTGCAGATTTCTAGCCATTTGATGCCAACAGTAGAAAGGGAAATATCTTCAAATAAAAACCAGACAGAATCATTCTCAGAAAATTCTTTGTGATGTGTGCGTTCAGCTCACATAGTTTAACCTTTCTTTTCATAGAGCAGTTTCGAAACACACTGTTTGTAAAATCTGCAAGTGGATATATGTACCGCTTTGAGGCATTCCTTGGAAACGGGATTTCTTCATTGAATGCTAGACAGAAGAATTCTCAGTAACTTCTTTGTGCTGTGTGTATTCAACTCACAGAGTGGAACGTCCCTTTGCACAGAGCAGATTTGAAACACTCTTTTTGTGGAATTTGCAAGTGGAGATTTCAAGCGATTTGATGCCAACAGTAGAAAAGGAAATATCTTCAAATAAAAACTAGACAGAATCATTCTCAGAAACTACTTTGTGATGTGTGCCTTCAACTCACAGAGTTTAACCTTTCTTTTCTTAGAGCACTTTAGAAACACTCTGCTTGTTATGTCTGCAAGTGGATATTTGGACCTCTTTGAGGCCTTCGTTGCAAACGGGGTTTCTTCCTTTCATGCTAGACTAAGAAGAGTTCTCAGTAACTTTTTTGTGTTGTGTGTATTCAACTCACAGAGTTGAACCTTGCTTTAGAGAGAGCAGATTTGAAACACTCTTGCTGTGGCATTTTCAGGTGGAGATTTCAAGCGATTTGAGGACAATTGCAGAAAAGGAAATATCTTCGTATAATAACCAGACAGAATCATTCTCAGAAAGTGCTTTGTGATGTGTGCGTTCAACTCACTGAGTTTAACCTTTGTTTTCATAGAGGAGTTTGGAAACACACTGTTTGTAAAGTCTGCAAGTGGATATATGGACCTGTTTGAGGCCTTCGTTGGAAACGGGATTTCTTCATTGATTGCTAGACGGAAGAATTCTCAGTAAATTCTTTGTGTTGTGTGCATTCAACTCACAGAGTGGAACGTCCCTTTAGACAGAGCAGATTTGAAACACTCTTTTTGCGGAATTTGCAAGTGGAGATTTCTAGCCATTTGATGCCAACAGTAGAAAGGGAAATATCTTCAAATAAAAACCAGACAGAATCATTCTCAGAAAATTCGTTGTGATGTGTGTGTTCAACTCACATAGTTTAACCTTTCTTTTCATAGAGCAGTTTGGAAACACTCTGTTTGTAAAGTCTGCAAGTGGATATATGGACCGCATTGAGGCCTTCGTTGGAAACGGGATTTCTTCATTTCATGCTAGACAGAAGAATTCTCAGTAACTTCTTTGTGCTGTGTGTATTCAACTCACAGAGTGGAACGTCCCTTTACACAGAGCAGATTTGAAACACTCTTTTTGTGGAGTTTGCAAGTGGAGATTTCAAGCGATTTTATGCCAACAGTAGAAAAGGAAATATCTTCAAATAAAAACTAGACAGAATCATTCTCAGAAACTACTTTGTGATGTGTGCCTTCAACTCACAGAGTTTAACCTTTCTTTTCTTAGAGCAGCTTAGAAACACTCTGCTTGTTATGTCTGCAAGTGGATATTTGGACCTCTTTGAGGCCTTCGTTGCAAACGGGGTTTCTTCCTTTAATGCTAGACTAAGAAGAGTTCTCAGTAACTTTTTTGTGTTGTGTGTATTCAACTCACAGAGTTGAACCTTGCTTTAGAGAGAGCAGATTTGAAACACTCTCGCTGTGGCATTATCAGGTGGAGATTTCAAACGATTTGAGGACAATTGCAGAAAAGGAAATATCTTCGTATAATAACCAGACAGAATCATTCTCAGAAAGTGCTTTGTGTTGTGTGCGTTCAACTCACAGAGTTTAACCTTTCTTTTCATAGAGGAGTTTGGAAACACACTGTTTGTAAAGTCTGCAATTGGATATATGGACCTGTTTGAGGCCTTCGTTGGAAACGGGATTTCTTCATTGAATGCTAGACGGAAGAATTCTCAGTAAATTCTTTGTGTTGTGTGCATTCAACTCACAGAGTGGAACGTCCCTTTAGACAGAGCACATTTGAAACACTCTTTTTGTGGAGTTTGCAAGTGGAGATTTCAAGCGATTTGATGCCAACAGTAGAAAAGGAAATATCTGCAAATAAAAACTAGACAGAATCATTCTCAGAAACTACTTTGTGATCTGTGCCTTCAACTCACAGAGTTTAACCTTTCTTTTCATAGAGGAGTTTGGAATCACACTGTTTGTAAAGTCTGCAATTGGATATATGGACCTGTTTGAGGCCTTCGTTGGAAACGGGATTTCTTCATTGAATACTAGACGGAAGAATTCTCAGTAAATTCTTTGTGTTGTGTGCATTCAACTCACAGAGTGGAACGTCCCTTTAGACAGAGCAGATTTGAAACACTCTTTTTGCGGAATTTGCAAGTGGAGATTTCTAGCCATTTGATGCCAACAGCAGAAAGGGAAATATCTTCAAATAAAATCCAGACAGAATCATTCTCAGAAAATTCTTTGTGATGTGTGCGTTCAACTCACATAGTTTAACCTTTCTTTTCATAGAGCAGTTTGGGAACACTCTGTTGGTAATGTCTGCAAGTGGATATATGGACCGCTTTGAGGCCTTCGTTGGAAACGGGATTTCTTCATTTCATGCTAGACAGAAGAATTCTCAGTAACTTCTTTGTGTTGTGTGTATTCAACTCACAGATTGGAACGTCCCTTTACACAGAGCAGATTTGAAACACTCTTTTTGTGGAATTTGCAAGTGGAGATTTCAAGCGATTTGATGCCAACAGTAGAAAAGGAAATATCTGCAAACAAAAACTAGACAGAATCATTATCAGAAAGTGCTTTGTGATGTGTGCATTCAACTCACAGAGTTAACCTTTCTTTTCATAAAGGAGTTTGGAAACACACTGTTTGTAAAGTCTGCAATTGGATATATGGACCTGTTTGAGGCCTTCGTTGGAAACGGGATTTCTTCATTGAATGCTAGACGGAAGAATTCTCAGTAAATTCTTTGTGTTGTGTGCATTCAACTCACAGAGTGGAACGTTCCTTTAGACAGAGCAGATTTGAAACACTCTTTTTGCGGAATTTGCAAGTGGAGATTTCTAGCCATTTGATGCCAACAGTAGAAAGGGAAATATCTTCAAATAAAAACCAGACAGAATCATTCTCAGAAAATTCTTTGTGATGTGTGCGTTCAACTCACATAGTTTAACCTTTCTTTTCATAGAGCAGTTTGGAAACACTCTGTTTGTAAAGTCTGCAAGTGGATATATGGACCGCATTGAGGCCTTCGTTGGAAACGGGATTTCTTCATTTCATGCTAGACAGAAGAATTCTCAGTAACTTCTTTGTGCTGTGTGTACTCAACTCACAGAGTGGAACGTCCCTTTGAACAGAGCAGATTTGAAACACTCTTTTTGTGGAGTTTGCAAGTGGAGATTTCAAGCGATTTGATGCCAACAGTAGAAAAGGAAATATCTTCAAATAAAAACTAGACAGAATCATTCTCAGAAACTACTTTGTGATGTCTGCCTTCAACTCACAGAGTTTAACCTTTCTTTTCTTAGAGCAGTTTAGAAACACTCTGCTTGTTATGTCTGCAAGTGGATATTTGGACCTCTTTGAGGCCTTCGTTGCAAACGGGGTTTCTTCCTTTCATGCTAGACTAAGAAGAGTTCTCAGTAACTTTTTTGTGTTGTGTGTATTCAACTCACAGAGTTGAACCTTGCTTTAGAGAGAGCAGATTTGAAACACTCTTGCTGTGGCATTTTCAGGTGGAGATTTCAAGCGATTTGAGGACAATTGCAGAAAAGGAAATATCTTCGTATAATAACCAGACAGAATCATTCTCAGAAAGTGCTTTGTGATGTGTGCGTTCAACTCACAGAGTTTAACCTTTCTTTTCATAGAGGAGTTTGGAAACACACTGTTTGTAAAGTCTGCAAGTGGATATATGGACCTGTTTGAGGCCTTCGTTGGAAACGGGATTTCTTCATTGAATGCTAGACGGAAGAATTCTCAGTAAATTCTTTGTGTTGTGTGCATTCAACTCACAGAGTGGAACGTCCCTTTAGACAGAGCAGATTTGAAACACTCTTTTTGCGGAATTTGCAAGTGGAGATTTCTAGCCATTTGATGCCAACAGTAGAAAGGGAAATATCTTCAAATAAAAACCAGACAGAATCATTCTCAGAAAATTCTTTGTGATGTGTGCGTTCAACTCACATAGTTTAACCTTTCTTTTCATAGAGCAGTTTGGAAACACTCTGTTTGTAAAGTCTGCAAGTGGATATATGGACCGCAATGAGGCCTTCGTTGGAAACGGGATTTCTTCATTTCATGCTAGACAGAAGAATTCTCAGCAACTTCTTTGTGCTGTGTGTATTCAACTCACAGACTGGAACGTCCCTTTGCACAGAGCAGATTTGAAACACTCTTTTTGTGGAATTTGCAAGTGGAGATTTCAAGCGATTTGATGCCAACAGTAGAAAAGGAAATATCTTCAAATAAAAACTAGACAGAATCATTCTCAGAAACTACTTTGTGATGTGTGCCTTCAACTCACAGAGTTTAACCTTTCTTTTCTTAGAGCAGTTTAGAAACACTCTGCTTGTTATGTCTGCAAGTGGATATTTGGACCTCTTTGAGGCCTTCGTTGCAAACGGGGTTTCTTCCTTTCATGCTAGACTAAGAAGAGTTCTCAGTAACTCTTTTGTGTTGTGTGTATTCAACTCACAGAGTTGAACCTTGCTTTAGAGAGAGCAGATTTGAAACACTCTTGCTGTGGCATTTTCAGGTGGAGATTTCAAGCGATTTGAGGACAATTGCAGAAAAGGAAATATCTTCGTATAATAACCAGACAGAATCATTCTCAGAAAGTGTTTTGTGATGTGTGCGTTCAACTCACAGAGTTTAACCTTTCTTTTCATAGAGGAGTTTGGAAACACACTGTTTGTAAAGTCTGCAAGTGGATATATGGACCTGTTTGAGGCCTTCGTTGGAAACGGGATTTCTTCATTGAATGCTAGACGGAAGAATTCTCAGTAAATTCTTTGTGTTGTGTGCATTCAACTCACAGAGTGGAACGTCCCTTTAGACACAGCAGATTTGAAACACTCTTTTTGCGGAATTTGCAAGTGGAGATTTCTAGCCATTTGATGCCAACAGTAGAAAGGGAAATATCTTCAAATAAAAACCAGACAGAATCATTCTCAGAAAATTCTTTGTGATGTGTGCGTTCAACTCACATAGTTTAACCTTTCTTTTCATAGAGCAGTTTGGGAACACTCTGTTGGTAATGTCTGCAAGTGGATATATGGACCGCTTTGAGGCCTTCGTTGGAAACGGGATTTCTTCATTTCATGCTAGACAGAAGAATTCTCAGTAACTTCTTTGTGTTGTGTGTATTCAACTCACAGATTGGAACGTCCCTTTACACAGAGCAGATTTGAAACACTCTTTTTGTGGAATTTGCAAGTGGAGATTTCAAGCGATTTGATGCCAACAGTAGAAAAGGAAATATCTGCAAACAAAAACTAGACAGAATCATTCTCAGAAACTACTTTGTGATGTGTGCCTTCAACTCACAGAGTTTAACCTTTCTTTTCTTAGAGCAGTTTAGAAACACTCTGCTTGTTATGTCTGCAAGTGGATATTTGGACCTCTTTGAGGCCTTCGTTGCAAACGGGGTTTCTTCCTTTCATGCTAGACTAAGAAGAGTTCTCAGTAACTTTTTTGTGTTGTGTGTATTCAACTCACAGAGTTGAACCTTGCTTTAGAGAGAGCAGATTTGAAACACTCTTGCTGTGGCATTTTCAGGTGGAGATTTCAAGCGATTTGAGGACAATTGCAGAAAAGGAAATATCTTCGTATAATAACCAGACAGAATCATTCTCAGAAAGTGCTTTGTGATGTGTGCGTTCAACTCACAGAGTTTAACCTTTCTTTTCATAGAGGAGTTTGGAAACACACTGTTTGTAAAGTCTGCAATTGGATATATGGACCTGTTTGAGGCCTTCGTTGGAAACGGGATTTCTTCATTGAATGCTAGACGGAAGAATTCTCAGTAAATTCTTTGTGTTGTGTGCATTCAACTGACAGAGTGGAACGTCCCTTAAGACAGAGCAGATTTGAAACACTCTTTTTGCGGAATTTGCAAGTGGAGATTTCTAGCCATTTGATGCCAACAGTAGAAAGGGAAATATCTTCAAATAAAAACCAGACAGAATCATTCTCAGAAAATTCTTTGTGATGTGTGCGTTCAACTCACATAGTTTAACCTTTCTTTTCATAGAGCAGTTTGGAAACACTCTGTTTGTAAAGTCTGCAAGTGGATATATGGACCGCATTGAGGCCTTCGTTGGAAACGAGATTTCTTCATTTCATGCTAGACAGAAGAATTCTCAGTAACTTCTTTGTGCTGTGTGTATTCAACTCACAGAGTGGAACGTCCCTTTGCACAGAGCAGATTTGAAACACTCTTTTTGTGGAGTTTGCAAGTGGAGATTTCAAGCGATTTGATGCCAACAGTAGAAAAGGAAATATCTTCGTATAACAACCAGACAGAATCATTCTCAGAAAGTGCTTTGTGATGTGTGCCTTCAACTCACAGAGTTTAACCTTTC
This sequence comes from Homo sapiens, assembly GCF_000001405.40. NCBI lineage: Eukaryota > Metazoa > Chordata > Mammalia > Primates > Hominidae > Homo > Homo sapiens. The sequence continues at coordinate 59,396,687 of NC_000007.14, forward strand.
TTTTCTTAGAGCAGTTTAGAAACACTCTGCTTGTTATGTCTGCAAGTGGATATTTGGACCTCTTTGAGGCCTTCGTTGCAAACGGGGTTTCTTCCTTTCATGCTAGACTAAGAAGAGTTCTCAGTAACTTTTTTGTGTTGTGTGTATTCAACTCACAGAGTTGAACCTTGCTTTAGAGAGAGCAGATTTGAAACACTCTTGCTGTGGCATTTTCAGGTGGAGATTTCAAGCGATTTGAGGACAATTGCAGAAAAGGAAATATCTTCGTATAATAACCAGAGAGAATCATTCTCAGAAAGTGCTTTGTGTTGTGTGCGTTCAACTCACAGAGTTTAACCTTTCTTTTCATAGAGGAGTTTGGAAACACACTGTTTGTAAAGTCTGCAATTGGATATATGGACCTGTTTGAGGCCTTCGTTGGAAACGGGATTTCTTCATTGAATGCTAGACGGAAGAATTCTCAGTAAATTCTTTGTGTTGTGTGCATTCAACTCACAGAGTGGAACGTCCCTTCAGACAGAGCAGATTTGAAACACTCTTTTTGCGGAATTTGCAAGTGGAGATTTCTAGCCATTTGATGCCAACAGTAGAAAGGGAAATATCTTCAAATAAAAACTAGACAGAATCATCCTCAGAAAATTCTTTGTGATGTGTGCGTTCAACTCACATAGTTTAACCTTTCTTTTCATAGAGCAGTTTGGAAACACTCTGTTGGTAAAGTCTGCAAGTGGATATATGGACCGCATTGAGGCCTTCGTTGGAAACGGGATTTCTTCATTTCATGCTAGACAGAAGAATACTCAGTAACTTCTTTGTGCTGTGTGTATTCAACTCACAGAGTGGAACGTCCCTTTACAGAGAGCAGATTTGAAACACTCTTTTTGTGGAGTTTGCAAGTGGAGATTTCAAGCGATTTGATGCCAACAGTAGAAAAGGAAATATCTTCAAATAAAAACTAGACAGAATCATTCTCAGAAACTACTTTGTGATGTGTGCCTTCAACTCACAGAGTTTAACCTTTCTTTTCTTAGAGCAGTTTAGAAACACTCTGCTTGTTATGTCTGCAAGTGGATATTTGGACCTCTTTGAGGCCTTCGTTGCAAACGGGGTTTCTTCCTTTCATGCTAGACTAAGAAGAGTTCTCAGTAACTTTTTTGTGTTGTGTGTATTCAACTCACAGAGTTGAACCTTGCTTTAGAGAGAGCAGATTTGAAACACTCTTGCTGTGGCATTTTCAGGTGGAGATTTCAAGCGTTTTGAGGACAATTGCAGAAAAGGAAATATCTTCGTATAATAACCAGACAGAATCATTCTCAGAAAGTGCTTTGTGTTGTGTGCGTTCAACTCACAGAGTTTAACCTTTCTTTTCATAGAGGAGTTTGGAAACACACTGTTTGTAAAGTCTGCAATTGGATATATGGACCTGTTTGAGGCCTTCGTTGGAAACGGGATTTCTTCATTGAATGCTAGACGGAAGAATTCTCAGTAAATACTTTGTGTTGTGTGCATTCAACTGACAGAGTGGAACGTCCCTTTAGACAGAGCAGATTTGAAACACTCTTTTTGCGGAATTTGCAAGTGGAGATTTCTAGCCATTTGATGCCAACAGTAGAAAGGGAAATATCTTCAAATAACAACCAGACAGAATCATTCTCAGAAAATTCTTTGTGATGTGTGCGTTCAACTCACATAGTTTAACCTTTCTTTTCATAGAGCAGTTTGGAAACACTCTGTTTGTAAAGTCTGCAAGTGGATATATGGACCGCATTGAGGCCTTCGTTGGAAACGGGATTTCTTCATTTCATGCTAGACAGAAGAATTCTCAGTAACTTCTTTGTGCTGTGTGTATTCAACTCACAGAGTGGAACGTCCCTTTGCACAGAGCAGATTTGAAACACTCTTTTTGTGGAATTTGCAAGTGGAGATTTCAAGCGATTTGATGCCAACAGTAGAAAAGGAAATATCTTCAAATAAAAACTAGACAGAATCATTCTCAGAAACTACTTTGTGATGTGTGCCTTCAACTCACAGAGTTTAACCTTTCTTTTCTTAGAGCAGTTTAGAAACACTCTGCTTGTTATGTCTGCAAGTGGATATTTGGACCTCTTTGAGGCCTTCGTTGCAAACGGGGTTTCTTCCTTTCATGTTAGACTAAGAAGAGTTCTCAGTAACTTTTTTGTGTTGTGTGTATTCAACTCACAGAGTTGAACCATGCTTTAGAGAGAGCAGATTTGAAACACTCTTGCTGTGGCATTTTCAGGTGGAGATTTCAAGCGATTTGAGGACAATTGCAGAAAAGGAAATATCTTCGTATAATAACCAGACAGAATCATTCTCAGAAAGTGCTTTGTGTTGTGTGCGTTCAACTCACAGAGTTTAACCTTTCTTTTCATAGAGGAGTTTGGAAACACACTGTTTGTAAAGTCTGCAATTGGATATATGGACCTGTTTGAGGCCTTCGTTGGAAACGGGATTTCTTCATTGAATGCTAGACGGAAGAATTCTCAGTAAATTCTTTGTGTTGTGTGCATTCAACTGACAGAGTGGAACGTCCCTTTAGACAGAGCAGATTTGAAACACTCTTTTTGCGGAATTTGCAAGTGGAGATTTCTAGCCATTTGATGCCAACAGTAGAAAGGGAAATATCTTCAAATAAAAACCAGACAGAATCATTCTCAGAAAATTCTTTGTGATGTGTGCGTTCAACTCACATAGTTTAACCTTTCTTTTCATAGAGCAGTTTGGAAACACTCTGTTTGTAAAGTCTGCAAGTGGATATATGGACCGCATTGAGGCCTTCGTTGGAAACGGGATTTCTTCATTTCATGCTAGACAGAAGAATTCTCAGTAACTTCTTTGTGCTGTGTGTATTCAACTCACAGAGTGGAACGTCCCTTTGCACAGAGCAGATTTAAAACACTCTTTTTGTGGAGTTTGCAAGTGGAGATTTCAAGCGATTTGATGCCAACAGTAGAAAAGGAAATATCTTCAAATAAAAACTAGACAGAATCATTCTCAGAAACTACTTTGTGATGTGTGCCTTCAACTCACAGAGTTTAACCTTTCTTTTCTTAGAGCAGTTTAGAAACACTCTGCTTGTTATGTCTGCAAGTGGATATTTGGACCTCTTTGAGGCCTTCGTTGCAAACGGGGTTTCTTCCTTTCATGCTAGACTAAGAAGAGTTCTCAGTAACTTTTTTGTGTTGTGTGTATTCAACTCACAGAGTTGAACCTTGCTTTAGAGAGAGCAGATTTGAAACACTCTTGCTGTGGCATTTTCAGGTGGAGATTTCAAGCGATTTGAGGACAATTGCAGAAAAGGAAATATCTTCGTATAATAACCAGACAGAATCATTCTCAGAAAGTGCTTTGTGATGTGTGCGTTCAACTCACAGAGTTTAACCTTTCTTTTCATAGAGGAGTTTGGAAACACACTGTTTGTAAAGTCTGCAAGTGGATATATGGACCTCTTTGAGGCCTTCGTTGGAAACGGGATTTCTTCATTGAATGCTAGACGGAAGAATTCTCAGTAAATTCTTTGTGTTGTGTGCATTCAACTCACAGAGTGGAACGTCCCTTTAGACAGAGCAGATTTGAAACACTCTTTTTGCGGAATTTGCAAGTGGAGATTTCTAGCCATTTGATGCCAACAATAGAAAGGGAAATATCTTCAAATAAAAACCAGACAGAATCATTCTCAGAAAATTCTTTGTGATGTGTGCGTTCAACTCACATAGTTTAACCTTTCTTTTCATAGAGCAGTTTGGAAACACTCTGTTTGTAAAGTCTGCAAGTGGATATATGGACCGCATTGAGGCCTTCGTTGGAAACGGGATTTCTTCATTTCATGCTAGACAGAAGAATTCTCAGTAACTTCTTTGTGCTGTGTGTATTCAACTCACAGAGTGGAACGTCCCTTTGCACAGAGCAGATTTGAAACACTCTTTTTGTGGAGTTTGCAAGTGGAGATTTCAAGCGATTTGATGCCAACAGTAGAAAAGGAAATATCTTCAAATAAAAACTAGACAGAATCATTCTCAGAAACTACTTTGTGATGTGTGCCTTCAACTCACAGAGTTTAACCTTTCTTTTCTTAGAGCAGTTTAGAAACACTCTGCTTGTTATGTCTGCAAGTGGATATTTGGACCTCTTTGAGGCCTTCGTTGCAAACGGGGTTTCTTCCTTTAATGCTAGACTAAGAAGAGTTCTCAGTAAATTTTTTGTGTTGTGTGTATTCAACTCACAGAGTTGAACCTTGCTTTAGAGAGAGCAGATTTGAAACACTCTTGCTGTGGCATTTTCAGGTGGAGATTTCAAGCGATTTGAGGACAATTGCAGAAAAGGAAATATCTTCGTATAACAACCAGACAGAATCACTCTCAGAAAGTGCTTTGTGATGTGTGCGTTCAACTCACAGAGTTTAACCTTTCTTTCCATAGAGGAGTTTGGAAACACACTGTTTGTAAAGTCTGCAATTGGATATATGGACCTGTTTGAGGCCTTCGTTGGAAACGGGATTTCTTCATTGAATGCTAGACGGAAGAATTCTCAGTAAATTCTTTGTGTTGTGTGCATTCAACTCACAGAGTGGAACGTCCCTTTAGTCAGAGCAGATTTGAAACACTCTTTTTGCGGAATTTGCAAGTGGAGATTTCTAGCCATTTGATGCCAACAGTAGAAAGGGAAATATCTTCAAATAAAAACCAGACAGAATCATTCTCAGAAAATTCTTTGTGATGTGTGCGTTCAACTCACATAGTTTAACCTTTCTTTTCATAGAGCAGTTTGGAAACACTCTGTTTGTAAAGTCTGCAAGTGGATATATGGACCGCATTGAGGCCTTCGTTGGAAACGGGATTTCTTCATTTCATGCTAGACAGAAGAATTCTCAGTAACTTCTTTGTGCTGTGTGTATTCAACTCACAGAGTGGAACGTCCCTTTGCACAGAGCAGATTTGAAACACTCTTTTTGTGGAATTTGCAAGTGGAGATTTCAAGCGATTTGATGCCAACAGTAGAAAAGGAAATATCTTCAAATAAAAACTAGACAGAATCATTCTCAGAAACTACTTTGTGATGTGTGCCTTCAACTCACAGAGTTTAACCTTTCTTTTCTTAGAGCAGTTTAGAAACACTCTGCTTGTTATGTCTGCAAGTGGATATTTGGACCTCTTTGAGGCCTTCGTTGCAAACGGGGTTTCTTCCTTTAATGCTAGACTAAGAAGAGTTCTCAGCAACTTTTTTGTGTTGTGTGTATTCAACTCACAGAGTTGAACCTTGCTTTAGAGAGAGCAGATTTGAAACACTCTCGCTGTGGAATTTTCAGGTGGAGATTTCAAGCGATTTGAGGACAATTGCAGAAAAGGAAATATCTTCGTATAATTACCAGACAGAATCATTCTCAGAAAGTGCTTTGTGATGTGTGCGTTCAACTCACAGAGTTTAACCTTTCTTTTCATAGAGGAGTTTGGAAACACACTGTTTGTAAAGTCTGCAATTGGATATATGGACCTGTTTGAGGCCTTCGTTGGAAACGGGATTTCTTCATTGCATGCTAGACGGAAGAATTCTCAGTAAATACTTTGTGTTGTGCGCATTCAACTGACAGAGTGGAACGTCCCTTTAGACAGAGCAGATTTGAAACACTCTTTTTGCGGAATTTGCAAGTGGAGATTTCTAGCCATTTGATGCCAACAGTAGAAAGGGAAATATCTTCAAATAAAAACCAGACAGAATCATTCTCAGAAAATTCTTTGTGATGTGTGCGTTCAACTCACATAGTTTAACCTTTCTTTTCATAGAGCAGTTTGGAAACACTCTTTTTGTAAAGTCTGCAAGTGGATATATGGACCTGTTTGAGGCCTTCGTTGGAAACGGGATTTCTTCATTGAATGCTAGAGGGAAGAATTCTCAGTAAATTCTTTGTGTTGTGTGCATTCAACTCACAGAGTGGAACGTCCCTTTAGACAGAGCAGATTTGAAACACTCTTTTTGCGGAATTTGCTAGTGGAGATTTCTAGCCATTTGATGCCAACAGTAGAAAGGGAAATATCTTCAAATAAAAACCAGACAGAATCATTCTCAGAAAATTCTTTGTGATGTGTGCGTTCAACTCACATAATTTAACCTTTCTTTTCATAGAGCAGTTTGGAAACACTCTGTTTGTAAAGTCTGCAAGTGGATATATGGACCTCATTGAGGCCTTCGTTGGAAACGGGATTTCTTCATTTCATGCTAGCCAGAAGAATTCTCAGTAACTTCTTTGTGCTGTGTGTATTCAACTCACAGAGTGGAACGTCCCTTTACACAGAGCAGATTTGAAACACTCTTTTTGTGGAATTTGCAAGTGGAGATTTCAAGCGATTTGATGCCAACAGTAGAAAAGGAAATATCTTCAAATAAAAACTAGACAGAATCATTCTCAGAAACTACTTTGTGATGTGTGCCTTCAACTCACAGAGTTTAACCTTTCTTTTCTTAGAGCAGTTTAGAAACACTCTGCTTGTTATGTCTGCAAGTGGATATTTGGACCTCTTTGAGGCCTTCGTTGCAAACGGGGTTTCTTCCTTTCATGCTAGACTAAGAAGAGTTCTCAGTAACTTTTTTGTGTTGTGTGTATTCAACTCACAGAGTTGAACCTTGCTTTAGAGAGAGCAGATTTGAAACACTCTTGCTGTGGCATTTTCAGGTGGAGATTTCAAGCGATTTGAGGACAATTGCAGAAAAGGAAATATCTTCGTATAATAACCAGACAGAATCATTCTCAGAAAGTGCTTTGTGATGTGTGCGTTCAACTCACAGAGTTTAACCTTTCTTTTCATAGAGGAGTTTGGAAACACACTGTTTGTAATGTCTGCAATTGGATATATGGACCTGTTTGAGGCCTTCGTTGGAAACGGGATTTCTTCATTGAATGCTAGACGGAAGAATTCTCAGTAAATTCTTTGTGTTGTGTGCATTCAACTCACAGAGTGGAACGTCCCTTTAGACAGAGCAGATTTGAAACACTTTTTGGCGGAATTTGCAAGTGGAGATTTCTAGCCATTTGATGCCAACAGTAGAAAGGGAAATATCTTCAAATAAAAACCAGACAGAATCATTCTCAGAAAATTCTTTGTGATGTGTGCGTTCAACTCACATAGTTTAACCTTTCTTTTCATAGAGCAGTTTGGAAACACTCTGTTTGTAAAGTCTGCAAGTGGATCTATGGACCGCATTGAGGCCTTCGTTGGAAACGGGATTTCTTCATTTCATGCTAGACAGAAGAATTCTCAGTAACTTCTTTGTGCTGTGTGTATTCAACTCACAGAGTGGAACGTCCCTTTACACAGAGCAGATTTGAAACACTCGTTTTGTGGAGTTTGCAAGTGGAGATTTCAAGCGATTTGATGCCAACAGTAGAAAAGGAAGTATCTTCAAATAAAAACTAGACAGAATCATTCTCAGAAACTACTTTGTGATGTGTGCCTTCAACTCACAGAGTTTAACCTTTCTTTTCTTAGAGCAGCTTAGAAACACTCTGCTTGTTATGTCTGCAAGTGGATATTTGGACCTCTTTGAGGCCTTCGTTGCAAACGGGGTTTTTTCCTTTCATGCTAGACTAAGAAGAGTTCTCAGTAACTTTTTTGTGTTGTGTGTATTCAACTCACAGAGTTGAACCTTGCTTTAGAGAGAGCAGATTTGAAACACTCTTGCTGTGGCATTTTCAGGTGGAGATTTCAAGCGATTTGAGGACAATTGCAGAAAAGGAAATATCTTCGTATAATAACCAGACAGAATCATTCTCAGAAAGTGCTTTGTGATGTGTGCGTTCAACTCACAGAGTTTAACCTTTCTTTTCATAGAGGAGTTTGGAAACACACTGTTTGTAAAGTCTGCAATTGGATATATGGACCTGTTTGAGGCCTTCGTTGGAAACGGGATTTCTTCATTGAATGCTAGACGGAAGAATTCTCAGTAAATTCTTTGTGTTGTGTGCATTCAACTCACAGAGTGGAACGTCCCTTTAGACAGAGCAGATTTGAAACACTCTTTTTGTGGAATTTGCAAGTGGAGATTTCTAGCCATTTGATGCCAACAGTAGAAAGGGAAATATCTTCAAATAAAAACCAGACAGAATCATTCTCAGAAAATTATTTGTGATGTGTGCGTTCAACTCACATAGTTTAACCTTTCTTTTCATAGAGCAGTTTGGAAACACTCTGTTTGTAAAGTCTGCAAGTGGATATATGGACCGCATTGAGGCCTTCGTTGGAAACGGGATTTCTTCATTTCATGCTAGACAGAAGAATTCTCAGTAACTTCTTTGTGCTGTGTGTATTCAACTCACAGAGTTGAACCTTGCTTTAGAGAGAGCAGATTTGAAACACTCTTGCTGTGGCATTTTCAGGTGGAGATTTCAACGATTTGAGGAAAATTGCAGAAAAGGGAATATCTTCGTATAATAACCAGACAGAATCATTCTCAGAAAGTGCTTTGTGATGTGTGCTTTCCACTCACAGAGTTTAACCTTTCTTTTCATAGAGGAGTTTGGAAACACACTGTTTGTAAACTCTGCAAGTGGATATATGGACCTGTTTGAGGCCTTCGTTGGAAACGGGATTTCTTCATTGAATGCTAGACGGAAGAATTCTCAGTAAATTCTTTGTGTTGTGTGCATTCAACTCACAGAGTGGAACGTCCCTTTAGACAGAGCAGATTTGAAACACTCTTTTTGCGGAATTTGCAAGTGGAGATTTCTAGCCATTTGATGCCAACAGTAGAAAGGGAAATATCTTCAAATAAAAACCAGACAGAATCATTCTCAGAAAATTCTTTGTGATGTGTGCGTTCAACTCACATAGTTTAACCTTTCTTTTCATAGAGCAGTTTGGAAACACTCTGTTTGTAAAGTCTGCAAGTGGATATATGGACCGCATTGAGGCCTTCGTTGGAAACGGGATTTCCTTCATTTCATGCTAGACAGAAGAATTCTCAATAACTTCTTTGTGCTGTGTGTATTCAACTCACAGAGTGGAACGTCCCTTTACACAGAGCAGATTTGAAACACTCTTTTTGTGGAGTTTGCAAGTGTAGATTTCAAGCGATTTGATGCCAACAGTAGAAAAGGAAATATCTTCAAATAAAAACTAGACAGAATCATTCTCAGAAACTACTTTGTGATGTGTGCCTTCAACTCACAGAGTTTAACCTTTCTTTTCTTAGAGCAGTTTAGAAACACTCTGCTTGTTATGTCTGCAAGTGGATATTTGGACCTCTTTGAGGCCTTCGTTGCAAACGGGGTTTCTTCCTTTCATGCTAGACTAAGAAGAGTTCTCAGTAACTTTTTTGTGTTGTGTGTATTCAACTCACAGAGTTGAACCTTGCTTTAGAGAGAGCAGATTTGAAACACTCTTGCTGTGGCATTTTCAGGTGGAGATTTCAAGCGATTTGAGGACAATTGCAGAAAAGGAAATATCTTCGTATAACAACCAGACAGAATCATTCTCAGAAAGTGCTTTGTGATGTGTGCGTTCAACTCACAGAGTTTAACCTTTCTTTTCATAGAGGAGTTTGGAAACACACTGTTTGTAAAGTCTGCAAGTGGATATATGGACCGGTTTGAGGCCTTCGTTGGAAACGGGATTTCTTCATTGAATGCTAGACGGAAGAATTCTCAGTAAATTCTTTGTGTTGTGTGCATTTAACTCACAGAGTGGAACGTCCCTTTAGACAGAGCAGATTTGAAACACTCTTTTTGCGGAATTTGCAAGTGGAGATTTCTAGCCATTTGATGCCAACAGTAGAAAGGGAAATATCTTCAAATAAAAACCAGACAGAATCATTCTCAGAAAATTCTTTGTGATGTGTGCGTTCAACTCACATAGTTTAACCTTTCTTTTCATAGAGCAGTTTGGAAACACTCTGTTTGTAAAGTCTGCAAGTGGATATATGGACCGCATTGAGGCCTTCTTTGGAAACGGGATTTCTTCATTTCATGCTAGACTGAAGAATTCTCAGTAACTTCTTTGTGCTGTGTGTATTCAACTCACAGAGTGGAACGTCCCTTTACACAGAGCAGATTTGAAACACTCTTTTTGTGGAGTTTAAAGTGGAGATTTCAAGCGATTTGATGCCAACAGTAGAAAAGGAAATATCTTCAGATAAAAACTAGACAGAATCATTCTCAGAAACTACTTTGTGATGTGTGCCTTCAACTCACAGAGTTTAACCTTTCTTTTCTTAGAGCAGTTTAGAAACACTCTGCTTGTTATGTCTGCAAGTGGATATTTGGACCTCTTTGAGGCCTTCGTTGCAAACGGCGTTTCTTCCTTTAATGCTAGACTAAGAAGAGTTCTCAGTAACTTTTTTGTGTTGTGTGTATTCAACTCACAGAGTTGAACCTTGCTTTAGAGAGAGCAGATTTGAAACACTCTTGCTGTGGCATTTTCAGGTGGAGATTTCAAGCGTTTTGAGGACAATTGCAGAAAAGGAAATATCTTCGTATAATAACCAGACAGAATCATTCTCAGAAAGTGCTTTGTGATGTGTGCGTTCAACTCACAGAGTTTAACCTTTCTTTTCATAGAGGAGTTTGGAAACACACTGTTTGTAAAGTCTGCAATTGGATATATGGACCTGTTTGAGGCCTTCGTTGGAAACGGGATTTCTTCATTGAATGCTAGACGGAAGAATTCTCAGTAAATTCTTTGTGTTGTGTGCATTCAACTCACAGAGTGGAACGTCCCTTTAGACAGAGCAGATTTGAAACACTCTTTTTGCGGAATTTGCAAGTGGAGATTTCTAGCCATTTGATGCCAACAGTAGAAAGGGAAATATCTTCAAATAAAAACCAGACAGAATCATTCTCAGAAAATTCTTTGTGATGTGTGCGTTCAACTCACATAGTTTAACCTTTCTTTTCATAGAGCAGTTTGGAAACACTCTGTTTGTAAAGTCTGCAAGTGGATATATGGACCGCATTGAGGCCTTCGTTGGAAACGGGATTTCTTCATTTCATGCTAGACAGAAGAATTCTCAGTAACTTCTTTGTGCTGTGTGTATTCAACTCACAGAGTGGAACGTCCCTTTGCACAGAGCAGATTTAAAACACTCTTTTTGTGGAGTTTGCAAGTGGAGATTTCAAGCGATTTGATGCCAACAGTAGAAAAGGAAATATCTTCAAATAAAAACTAGACAGAATCATTCTCAGAAACTACTTTGTGATGTGTGCCTTCAACTCACAGAGTTTAACCTTTCTTTTCTTAGAGCAGTTTAGAAACACTCTGCTTGTTATGTCTGCAAGTGGATATTTGGACCTCTTTGAGGCCTTCGTTGCAAACGGGGTTTCTTCCTTTCATGCTAGACTAAGAAGAGTTCTCAGTAACTTTTTTGTGTTGTGTGTATTCAACTCACAGAGTTGAACCTTGCTTTAGAGAGAGCAGATTTGAAACACTCTTGCTGTGGCATTTTCAGGTGGAGATTTCAAGCGATTTGAGGACAATTGCAGAAAAGGAAATATCTTCGTATAATAACCAGACAGAATCATTCTCAGAAAGTGCTTTGTGATGTGTGCGTTCCACTCACAGAGTTTAACCTTTCTTTTCATAGAGGAGTTTGGAAACACACTGTTTGTAAACTCTGCAAGTGGATATATGGACCTGTTTGAGGCCTTCGTTGGAAACGGGATTTCTTCATTGAATGCTAGACGGAAGAATTCTCAGTAAATTCTTTGTGTTGTGTGCATTCAACTCACAGAGTGGAACGTCCCTTTAGACAGAGCAGATTTGAAACACTCTTTTTGCGGAATTTGCAAGTGGAGATTTCTAGCCATTTGATGCCAACAGTAGAAAGGGAAATATCTTCAAATAAAAACCAGACAGAATCATTCTCAGAAAATTCTTTGTGATGTGTGCGTTCAACTCACATAGTTTAACCTTTCTTTTCATAGAGCAGTTTGGAAACACTCTGTTTGTAAAGTCTGCAAGTGGATCTATGGACCGCATTGAGGCCTTCGTTGGAAACGGGATTTCTTCATTTCATGCTAGACAGAAGAATTCTCAGTAACTTCTTTGTGCTGTGTGTATTCAACTCACAGAGTGGAACGTCCCTTTACACAGAGCAGATTTGAAACACTCTTTTTGTGGAGTTTGCAAGTGGAGATTTCAAGCGATTTGATGCCAACAGTAGAAAATGAAATATCTTCAAATAAAAACTAGACAGAATCATTCTCAGAAACTACTTTGTGATGTGTGCCTTCAACTCACAGAGTTTAACCTTTCTTTTCTTAGAGCAGTTTAGAAACACTCTGCTTGTTATGTCTGCAAGTGGATATTTGGACCTCTTTGAGGCCTTCGTTGCAAACGGGGTTTCTTCCTTTCATGCTAGACTAAGAAGAGTTCTCAGTAACTTTTTTGTGTTGTGTGTATTCAACTCACAGAGTTGAACCTTGCTTTAGAGAGAGCAGATTTGAAACACTCTTGCTGTGGCATTTTCAGGTGGAGATTTCAAGCGATTTGAGGACAATTGCAGAAAAGGAAATATCTTCGTATAATAACCAGACAGAGTCATTCTCAGAAAGTGCTTTGTGATGTGTGCGTTCAACTCACAGAGTTTAACCTTTCTTTTCATAGAGGAGTTTGGAAACACACTGTTTGTAAAGTCTGCAATTGGATATATGGACCTGTTTGAGGCCTCCGTTGGAAACGGGATTTCTTCATTGAATGCTAGACGGAAGAATTCTCAGTAAATTCTTTGTGTTGTGTGCATTCAACTCACAGAGTGGAACGTCCCTTTAGACAGAGCAGATTTGAAACACTCTTTTTGCGGAATTTGCAAGTGGAGATTTCTAGCCATTTGATGCCAACAGTAGAAAGGGAAATATCTTCAAATAAAAACCAGACAGAATCATTCTCAGAAAATTCTTTGTGATGTGTGCGTTCAACTCACATAGTTTAACCTTTCTTTTCATAGAGCAGTTTGGAAACACTCTGTTTGTAAAGTCTGCAAGTGGATATATGGACCGCATTGAGGCCTTCGTTGGAAACGGGATTTCTTCATTTCATGCTAGACAGAAGAATTCTCAGTAACTTCTTTGTGCTGTGTGTATTCAACTCACAGAGTGGAACGTCCCTTTACACAGAGCAGATTTGAAACACTCTTTTTGTGGAGTTTGCAAGTGGAGATTTCAAGCGATTTGATGCCAACAGTAGAAAAGGAAATATCTTCAAATAAAAACTAGACAGAATCATTCTCAGAAACTACTTTGTGATGTGTGCCTTCAACTCACAGAGTTTAACCTTTCTTTTCTTAGAGCAGTTTAGAAACACTCTGCTTGTTATGTCTGCAAGTGGATATTTGGACCTCTTTGAGGCCTTCGTTGCAAACGGGGTTTCTTCCTTTCATGCTAGACTAAGAAGAGTTCTCAGTAACTTTTTTGTGTTGTGTGTATTCAACTCACAGAGTTGAACCTTGCTTTAGAGAGAGCAGATTTGAAACACTCTTGCTGTGGCATTTTCAGGTGGAGATTTCAAGCGATTTGAGGACAATTGCAGAAAAGGAAATATCTTCGTATAATAACCAGACAGAATCATTCTCAGAAAGTGCTTTGTGATGTGTGCGTTCCACTCACAGAGTTTAACCTTTCTTTTCATAGAGGAGTTTGGAAACACACTGTTTGTAAAGTCTGCAAGTGGATATATGGACCTCTTTGAGGCCTTCGTTGGAAACGGGATTTCTTCATTGAATGCTAGACGGAAGAATTCTCAGTAAATTCTTTGTGTTGTGTGCATTCAACTCACAGAGTGGAACGTCCCTTTAGACAGAGCAGATTTGAAACACTCTTTTTGCGGAATTTGCAAGTGGAGATTTCTAGCCATTTGATGCCAACAGTAGAAAGGGAAATATCTCAAATAAAAACCAGACAGAATCATTCTCAGAAAATTCTTTGTGATGTGTGCGTTCAACTCACATAGTTTAACCTTTCTTTTCATAGAGCAGTTTGGTAACACTCTGTTTGTAAAGTCTGCAAGTGGATATATGGACCGCATTGAGGCCTTCGTTGGAAACGGGATTTCTTCATTTTATGCTAGACAGAAGAATTCTCAGTAACTTCTTTGTGCTGTGTGTATTCAACTCACAGAGTGGAACGTCCCTTTACACAGAGCAGATTTGAAACACTCTTTTTGTGGAGTTTGCAAGTGGAGATTTCAAGCGATTTGATGCCAACAGTAGAAAAGGAAATATCTTCAAATAAAAACTAGACAGAATCATTCTCAGAAACTACTTTGTGATGTGTGCCTTCAACTCACAGAGTTTAACCTTTCTTTTCTTAGAGCAGTTTAGAAACACTCTGCTTGTTATGTCTGCAAGTGGATATTTGGACCTCTTTGAGGCCTTCGTTGCAAACGGGGTTTCTTCCTTTCATGCTAGACTAAAGAGTTCTCAGTAACTTTTTTGTGTTGTGTGTATTCAACTCACAGAGTTGAACCTTGCTTTAGAGAGAGCAGATTTGAAACACTCTAGCTGTGGCATTTTCAGGTGGAGATTTCAAGCGATTTGAGGACAATTGCAGAAAAGGAAATATCTTCGTATAATAACCAGACAGAATCATTCTCAGAAAGTGCTTTGTGATGTGCGCGTTCAACTCACAGAGTTTAACCTTTCTTTCCATAGAGGAGTTTGGAAACACACTGTTTGTAAAGTCTGCAATTGGATATATGGACCTGTTTGAGGCCTTCGTTGGAAACGGGATTTCTTCATTGAATGCTAGACGGAAGAATTCTCAGTAAATTCTTTGTGTTGTGTGCATTCAACTCACAGAGTGGAACGTCCCTTTAGACAGAGCAGATTTGAAACACTCTTTTTGCGGAATTTGCAAGTGGAGATTTCTAGCCATTTGCTGCCAACAGTAGAAAGGGAAATATCTTCAAATAAAAACCAGACAGAATCATTCTCAGAAAATTCTTTGTGATGTGTGCGTTCAACTCACATAGTTTAACCTTTCTTTTCATAGAGCAGTTTGGAAACACTCTGTTTGTAAAGTCTGCAAGTGGATATATGGACCGCATTGAGGCCTTCGTTGGAAACGGGATTTCTTCATTTCATGCTAGACAGAAGAATTCTCAGTAACTTCTTTGTGCTGTGTGTATTCAACTCACAGAGTGCAACGTCCCTTTACACAGAGCAGATTTGAAACACTCTTTTTGTGGAATTTGCAAGTGGAGATTTCAAGCGATATGATGCCAACAGTAGAAAAGGAAATATCTTGAAATAAAAACTAGACAGAATCATTCTCAGAAACTACTTTGTGATGTGTGCCTTCAACTCGCAGAGTTTAACCTTTCTTTTCTTAGAGCAGTTTAGAAACACTCTGCTTGTTATGTCTGCAAGTGGATATTTGGACCTCTTTGAGGCCTTCGTTGCAAACGGGATTTCTTCCTTTAATGCTAGACTAAGAAGAGTTCTCAGTAACTTTTTTGTGTTGTGTGTATTCAACTCACAGAGTTGAACCTTGCTTTAGAGAGAGCAGATTTGAAACACTCTTGCTGTGGCATTTTCAGGTGGAGATTTCAAGCGATTTGAGGACAATTGCAGAAAAGGAAATATCTTCGTATAATAACCAGACAGAATCATTCTCAGAAAGTGCTTTGTGATGTGTGCGTTCAACTCACAGAGTTTAACCTTTCTTTTCATAGAGGAGTTTGGAAACACACTGTTTGTAAAGTCTGCAAGTGGATATATGGACCTGTTTGAGGCCTTCGTTGGAAACGGGATTTCTTCATTGAATGCTAGACGGGAAGAATTCTCAGTAAATTCTTTGTGTTGTGTGCATTCAACTCACAGAGTGGAACGTCCCTTTAGACAGAGCAGATTTGAAACACTCTTTTTGCGGAATTTGCAAGTGGAGATTTCTAGCCATTTGATGCCAACAGTAGAAAGGGAAATATCTTCAAATAAAAACCAGACAGAATCATTCTCAGAAAATTCTTTGTGATGTGTGCGTTCAACTCACATAGTTTAACCTTTCTTTTCATAGAGCAGTTTGGAAACACTCTGTTTGTAAAGTCTGCAAGTGGATATATGGACCGCATTGAGGCCTTCGTTGGAAACGGGATTTCTTCATTTCATGCTAGACAGAAGAATTCTCAGTAACTTCTTTGTGCTGTGTGTATTCAACTCACAGAGTGGAACGTCCCTTTGCACAGAGCAGATTTGAAACACTCTTTTTGTGGAATTTGCAAGTGGAGATTTCAAGCGATTTGATGCCAACAGTAGAAAAGGAAATATCTTCAAATAAAAACTAGACAGAATCATTCTCAGAAAATACTTTGTGATGTGTGCCTTCAACTCACAGAGTTTAACCTTTCTTTTCTTAGAGCAGTTTAGAAACACTCTGCTTGTTATGTCTGCAAGTGGATATTTGGACCTCTTTGAGGCCTTCGTTGCAAACGGGGTTTCTTCCTTTCATGCTAGACTAAGAAGAATTCTCAGTAACTTCTTTGTGCTGTGTGTATTCAACTCACAGAGTTGAACCTTGCTTTAGAGAGAGCAGATTTGAAACACTCTTGCTGTGGCATTTTCAGGTGGAGATTTCAAGCGATTTGAGGACAATTGCAGAAAAAGAAATATCTTCGTATAATAACCAGACAGAATCATTCTCAGAAAGTGCTTTGTGATGTGTGCGTTCCACTCACAGAGTTTAACCTTTCTTTTCATAGAGGAGTTTGGAAACACACTGTTTGTAAAGTCTGCAAGTGGATATATGGACCTGTTTGAGGCCTTCGTTGGAAACGGGATTTCTTCATTGAATGCTAGACGGAAGAATTCTCAGTAAATTCTTTGTGTTGTGTGCATTCAACTCACAGAGTGGAACGTCCCTTTAGACAGAGCAGATTTGAAACACTCTTTTTGCGGAATTTGCAAGTGGAGATTTCTAGCCATTTGATGCCAACAGTAGAAAGGGAAATATCTTCAAATAAAAACCAGACAGAATCATTCTCAGAAAATTCTTTGTGATGTGTGCGTTCAACTCACATAGTTTAACCTTTCTTTTCATAGAGCAGATTGGAAACACTCTGTTTGTAAAGTCTGCAAGTGGATATATGGACCGCATTGAGGCCTTCGTTGGAAACGGGATTTCTTCTTTTCATACTAGACAGAAGAATTCTCAGTAACTTCTTTGTGCTGTGTGTATTCAACTCACAGAGTGGAACGTCCCTTTACACAGAGCAGATTTGAAACACTCTTTTTGTGGAGTTTGCAAGTGGAGATTTCAAGCGATTTGATGCCAACAGTAGAAAAGGAAATATCTTCAAATAAAAACTAGACAGAATCATTCTCAGAAACTACTTTGTGATGTGTGCCTTCAACTCACAGAGTTTAACCTTTCTTTTCTTAGAGCAGTTTAGAAACACTCTGCTTGTTATGTCTGCAAGTGGATATTTGGACCTCTTTGAGGCCTTCGTTGCAAACGGGGTTTCTTCCTTTAATGCTAGACTAAGAAGAGTTCTCAGTAACTTTTCTGTGTTGTGTGTATTCAACTCACAGAGTTGAACCTTGCTTTAGAGAGAGCAGATTTGAAACACTCTCGCTGTGGAATTTTCAGGTGGAGATTTCAAGCGATTTGAGGACAATTGCAGAAAAGGAAATATCTTCGTATAATAACCAGACAGAATCATTCTCAGAAAGTGCTTTGTGATGTGTGCGTTCAACTCACAGAGTTTAACCTTTCTTTTCATAGAGGAGTTTGGAAACACACTGTTTGTAAAGTCTACAATTGGATATATGGACCTGTTTGAGGCCTTCGTTGGAAACGGGATTTCATCATTGAATGCTAGACGGAAGAATTCTCAGTAAATTCTTTGTGTTGTGTGCATTCAACTCACAGAGTGGAACGTCCCTTTAGACAGAGCAGATTTGAAACACTCTTTTTGCGGAATTTGCAAGTGGAGATTTCTAGCCATTTGATGCCAACAGTAGAAAGGGAAATATCTTCAAATAAAAACCAGACAGAATCATTCTCAGAAAATTCTTTGTGATGTGTGCGTTCAACTCACATAGTTTAACCTTTCTTTTCATAGAGCAGTTTGGAAACACTCTGTTTGTAAAGTCTGCAAGTGGATATATGGACCGCATTGAGGCCTTCGTTGGAAACGGGATTTCTTCATTTCATGCTAGACAGAAGAATTCTCAGTAACTTCTTTGTGCTGTGTGTATTCAACTCACAGAGTGGAACGTCCCTTTACACAGAGCAGATTTGAAACACTCTTTTTGTGGAGTTTGCAAGTGGAGATTTCAAGCGATTTGATGCCAACAGTAGAAAAGGAAATATCTTCAAATAAAAACTAGACAGAATCATTCTCAGAAACTACTTTGTGATGTGTGCCTTCAACTCACAGAGTTTAACCTTTCTTTTCTTAGAGCAGTTTAGAAACACTCTGCTTGTTATGTCTGCAAGTGGATATTTGGACCTCTTTGAGGCCTTCGTTGCAAACGGGGTTTCTTCCTTTCATGCTAGACTAAGAAGAGTTCTCAGTAACTTTTCTGTGTTGTGTGTATTCAACTCACAGAGTTGAACCTTGCTTTAGAGAGAGCAGATTTGAAACACTCTTGCTGTGACATTTTCAGGTGGAGATTTCAAGCGATTTGAGGACAATTGCAGAAAAGGAAATATCTTCGTATAACAACCAGACAGAATCATTCTCAGAAAGTGCTTTGTGATGTGTGCGTTCCACTCACAGAGTTTAACCTTTCTTTTCATAGAGGAGTTTGGAAACACACTGTTTGTAAAGTCTGCAAGTGGATATATGGACCTGTTTGAGGCCTTCGTTGGAAACGGGATTTCTTCATTGAATGCTAGACGGAAGAATTCTCAGTAAATTCTTTGTGTTGTGTGCATTCAACTCACAGAGTGGAACGTCCCTTTAGACAGAGCAGATTTGAAACACTCTTTTTGCGGAATTTGCAAGTGGAGATTTCTAGCCATTTGATGCCAACAGTAGAAAGGGAAATATCTTCAGATAAAAACCAGACAGAATCATTCTCAGAAAATTCTTTGTGATGTGTGCGTTCAACTCACATAGTTTAACCTTTCTTTTCATAGAGCAGTTTGGAAACACTCTGTTTGTAAAGTCTGCAAGTGGATATATGGACCGCATTGAGGCCTTCGTTGGAAACGGGATTTCTTCATTTCATGCTAGACAGAAGAATTCTCAGTAACTTCTTTGTGCTGTGTGTATTCAACTCACAGAGTGGAACGTCCCTTTGCACAGAGCAGATTTGAAACACTCTTTTTGTGGAGTTTGCAAGTGGAGATTTCAAGCGATTTGATGCCAACAGTAGAAAAGGAAATATCTTCAAATAAAAACTAGACAGAATCATTCTCAGAAACTACTTTGTGATGTGTGCCTTCAACTCACAGAGTTTAACCTTTCTTTTCTTAGAGCAGTTTAGAAACACTCTGCTTGTTATGTCTGCAAGTGGATATTTGGACCTCTTTGAGGCCTTCGTTGCAAACGGGGTTTCTTCCTTTCATGCTAGACTAAGAAGAGTTCTCAGTAACTTTTTTGTGTTGTGTGTATTCAACTCACAGAGTTGAACCTTGCTTTAGAGAGAGCAGATTTGAAACACTCTTGCTGTGGCATTTTCAGGTGGAGATTTCAAGCGATTTGAGGACAATTGCAGAAAAGGAAATATCTTCGTATAATAACCAGACAGAATCATTCTCAGAAAGTGCTTTGTGATGTGTGCGTTCAACTCACAGAGTTTAACCTTTCTTTCCATAGAGGAGTTTGGAAACACACTGTTTGTAAAGTCTGCAAGTGGATATATGGACCTGTTTGAGGCCTTCGTTGGAAACGGGATTTCTTCATTGAATGCTAGACGGAAGAATTCTCAGTAAATTCTTTGTGTTGTGTGCATTCAACTCACAGAGTGGAACGTCCCTTTAGACAGAGCAGATTTAAAACACTCTTTTTGCGGAATTTGCAAGTGGAGATTTCTAGCCATTTGATGCCAACAGTAGAAAGGGAAATATCTTCAAATAAAAACCAGACAGAATCATTCTCAGAAAATTCTTTGTGATGTGTGCGTTCAACTCACATAGTTTAACCTTTCTTTTCATAGAGCAGTTTGGAAACACTCTGTTTGTAAAGTCTGCAAGTGGATATATGGACCGCATTGAGGCCTTCGTTGGAAACGGGATTTCTTCATTTCATGCTAGACAGAAGAATTCTCAGTAACTTCTTTGTGCTGTGTGTATTCAACTCACAGAGTGGAACGTTCCTTTACACAGAGCAGATTTGAAACACTCTTTTTGTGGAATTTCCAAGTGGAGATTTCAAGCGATTTGATGCCAACAGTAGAAAAGGAAATATCTTCAAATAAAAACTAGACAGAATCATTCTCAGAAACTACTTTGTGATGTGTGCCTTCAACTCACAGAGTTTATCCTTTCTTTTCTTAGAGCAGTTTAGAAACACTCTGCTTGTTATGTCTGCAAGTGGATATATGGACCGCATTGAGGCCTTCGTTGCAAACGGGGTTTCTTCCTTTCATGCTAGACTAAGAAGAGTTCTCAGTAACTTTTTTGTGTTGTGTGTATTCAACTCACAGAGTTGAACCTTGCTTTAGAGAGAGCAGATTTGAAACACTCTTGCTGTGGCATTTTCAGGTGGAGATTTCAAGCGATTTGAGGACAATTGCAGAAAAGGAAATATCTTCGTATAATAACCAGACAGAATCATTCTCAGAAAGTGCTTTGTGATGTGTGCGTTCAACTCACAGAGTTTAACCTTTCTTTTCATAGAGGAGTTTGGAAACACACTGTTTGTAAAGTCTGCAATTGGATATATGGACCTGTTTGAGGCCTTCGTTGGAAACGGGATTTCTTCATTGAATGCTAGGCGGAAGAATTCTCAGTAAATTCTTTGTGTTGTGTGTATTCAACTCACAGAGTGGAACGTCCCTTTAGACAGAGCAGATTTGAAACACTCTTTTTGCGGAATTTGGAAGTGGAGATTTCTAGCCATTTGATGCCAACAGTAGAAAGGGAAATATCTTCAAATAAAAACCAGACAGAATCATTCTCAGAAAATTCTTTGTGATGTGTGCGTTCAACTCACATAGTTTAACCTTTCTTTTCATAGAGCAGTTTGGAAACACTCTGTTTGTAAAGTCTGCAAGTGGATATATGGACCGCATTGAGGCCTTCGTTGGAAACGGGATTTCTTCATTTCATGCTAGACAGAAGAATTCTCAGTAACTTCTTTGTGCTGTGTGTATTCAACTCACAGAGTGGAACGTCCCTTTGCACAGAGCAGATTTGAAACACTCTTTTTGTGGAGTTTGCAAGTGGAGATTTCAAGCGATTTGATGCCAACAGTAGAAAAGGAAATATCTTCAAATAAAAACTAGAGAGAATCATTCTCAGAAACTACTTTGTGATGTGTGCCTTCAACTCACAGAGTTTAACCTTTCTTTTCTTAGAGCAGTTTAGAAACACTCTGCTTGTTATGTCTGCAAGTGGATATTTGGACCTCTTTGAGGCCTTCGTTGCAAACGGGGTTTCTTCCTTTAATGCTAGACTAAGAAGAGTTCTCAGTAACTTTTTTGTGTTGTGTGTATTCAACTCACAGAGTTGAACCTTGCTTTAGAGAGAGCAGATTTGAAACACTCTTGCTGTGGCATTTTCGGGTGGAGATTTCAAGCGATTTGAGGACAATTGCAGAAAAGGAAATATCTTCGTATAATAACCAGACAGAATCATTCTCAGAAAGTGCTTTGTGATGTGTGCGTTCAACTCACAGAGTTTAACCTTTCTTTTCATAGAGGAGTTTGGAAACACACTGTTTGTAAAGTCTGCAAGTGGATATATGGACCTGTTTGAGGCCTTCGTTGGAAACGGGATTTTATCATATAATGCTAGACGGAAGAATTCTCAGTAAATTCTTTGTGTTGTGTGCATTCAACTCACAGAGTGGAACATCCCTTTAGACAGAGCACATTTGAAACACTCTTTTTGCGGAATTTGCAAGTGGAGATTTCTAGCCATTTGATGCCAACAGTAGAAAGGGAAATATCTTCAAATAAAAACTAGACAGAATCATCCTCAGAAAATTCTTTGTGATGTGTGCGTTCAACTCACATAGTTTAACCTTTCTTTTCATAGAGCAGTTTGGAAACACTCTGTTGGTAATGTCTGCAAGTGGATATATGGACCGCTTTGAGGCCTTCGTTGGAAACGGGATTTCTTCATTTCATGCTAGACAGAAGAATTCTCAATAACTTCTTTGTGTTGTGTGTATTCAACTCACAGAATGGAATGTCCCTTTACACAGAGCAGATTTGAAACACTCTTTTTGTGGAATTTGCAAGTGGAGATTTCAAGCGATTTGATGCCAACAGTAGAAAAGGAAATATCTGCAAATAAAAATTAGACAGAATCATTCTCAGAAACTACTTTGTGATGTGTGCCTTCAACTCACAGAGTTTAACCTTTCTTTTCTTAGAGCAGTTTAGAAACACTCTGCTTGTTATGTCTGCAAGTGGATATTTGGACCTCTTTGAGGCCTTCGTTGCAAACGGGGTTTCTTCCTTTCATGCTAGACTAAGAAGAGTTCTCAGTAACTTTTTTGTGTTGTGTGTATTCAACTCACAGAGTTGAACCTTGCTTTAGAGAGAGCAGATTTGAAACACTCTTGCTGTGGCATTTTCAGGTGGAGATTTCAAGCGATTTGAGGACAATTGCAGAAAAGGAAATATCTTCGTATAATAACCAGACAGAATCATTCTCAGAAAGTGCTTTGTGATGTGTGCGTTCCACTCACAGAGTTTAACCTTTCTTTTCATAGAGGAGTTTGGAAACACACTGTTTGTAAACTCTGCAAGTGGATATATGGACCTGTTTGAGGCCTTCGTTGGAAACGGGATTTCTTCATTGAATGCTAGACGGAAGAATTCTCAGTAAATTCTTTGTGTTGTGTGCATTCAACTCACAGAGTGGAACGTCCCTTTAGACAGAGCAGATTTGAAACACTCTTTTTGCGGAATTTGCAAGTGGAGATTTCTAGCCATTTGATGCCAACAGTAGAAAGGGAAATATCTTCAAATAAAAACCAGACAGAATCATTCTCAGAAAATTCTTTGTGATGTGTGCGTTCAACTCACATAATTTAACCTTTGTTTTCATAGAGCAGTTTGGAAACACTCTGTTTGTAAAGTCTGCAAGTGGATATATGGACCGCATTGAGGCCTTCGTTGGAAACGGGATTTCTTCATTTCATGCTAGACAGAAGAATTCTCAGTAATTTCTTTGTGCTGTGTGTATTCAACTCACAGAGTGGAACGTCCCTTTACACAGAGCAGATTTGAAACACTCTTTTTGTGGAGTTTGCAAGTGGAGATTTCAAGCGATTTGATGCCAACAGTAGAAAAGGAAATATCTTCAAATAAAAACTAGACAGAATCATTCTCAGAAACTACTTTGTGATGTGTGCCTTCAACTCACAGAGTTTAACCTTTCTTTTCTTAGAGCACTTTAGAAACACTCTGCTTGTTATGTCTGCAAGTGGATATTTGGACCTCTTTGAGGCCTTCGTTGCAAACGGGGTTTCTTCCTTTAATGCTAGACTAAGAAGAGTTCTCAGTAACTTTTTTGTGTTGTGTGTATTCAACTGACAGAGTTGAACCTTGCTTTAGAGAGAGCAGATTTGAAACACTCTTGCTGTGGCATTTTCAGGTGGAGATTTCAAGCGATTTGAGGACAATTGCAGAAAAAGAAATATCTTCGTATAATAACCAGACAGAATCATTCTCAGAAAGTGCTTTGTGATGTGTGCGTTCCACTCACAGAGTTTAACCTTTCTTTTCATAGAGGAGTTTGGAAACACACTGTTTGTAAAGTCTGCAAGTGGATATATGGACCTGTTTGAGGCCTTCGTTGGAAACGGGATTTCTTCATTGAATGCTAGACGGAAGAATTCTCAGTAAATTCTTTGTGTTGTGTGCATTCAACTCACAGAGTGGAACGTCCCTTTAGACAGAGCAGATTTGAAACACTCTTTTTGCGGAATTTGCAAGTGGAGATTTCTAGCCATTTGATGCCAACAGTAGAAAGGGAAATATCTTCAAATAAAAACCAGACAGAATCATTCTCAGAAAATTCTTTGTGATGTGTGCGTTCAACTCACATAATTTAACCTTTCTTTTCATAGAGCAGTTTGGAAACACTCTGTTTGTAAAGTCTGCAAGTGGATATATGGACCGCATTGAGGCCTTCGTTGGAAACGGGATTTCTTCATTTCATGCTAGACAGAAGAATTCTCAGTAACTTCTTTGTGCTGTGTGTATTCAACTCACAGAGTGGAACGTCCCTTTGCACAGAGCAGATTTGAAACACTCTTTTTGTGGAATTTGCAAGTGGAGATTTCAAGCGATTTGATGCCAACAGTAGAAAAGGAAATATCTTCAAATAAAAACTAGACAGAATCATTCTCAGAAACTACTTTGTGATGTGTGCCTTCAACTCACAGAGTTTAACCTTTCTTTTCTTAGAGCAGTTTAGAAACACTCTGCTTGTTATGTCTGCAAGTGGATATTTGGACCTCTTTGAGGCCTTCGTTGCAAACGGGGTTTCTTCCTTTAATGCTAGACTAAGAAGAGTTCTCAGTAACTTTTTTGTGTTGTGTGTATTCAACTCACAGAGTTGAACCTTGCTTTAGAGAGAGCAGATTTGAAACACTCTTGCTGTGGCATTTTCAGGTGGAGATTTCAAGCGATTTGAGGACAATTGCAGAAAAGGAAATATCTTCGTATAACAACCAGACAGAATCATTCTCAGAAAGTGCTTTGTGATGTGTGCGTTCAACTCACAGAGTTTAACCTTTCTTTTCATAGAGGAGTTTGGAAACACACTGTTTGTAAAGTCTGCAATTGGATATATGGACCTGTTTGAGGCCTTCGTTGGAAACGGGATTTCTTCATTGAATGCTAGGCGGAAGAATTCTCAGTAAATTCTTTGTGTTGTGTGCATTCAACTGACAGAGTGGAACGTCCCTTTAGACAGAGCAGATTTGAAACACTCTTTTTGCGGAATTTGCAAGTGGAGATTTCTAGCCATTTGATGCCAACAGTAGAAAGGGAAATATCTTCAAATAAAAACCAGACAGAATCATTCTCAGAAAATTCTTTGTGATGTGTGCGTTCAACTCACATAGTTTAACCTTTCTTTTCATAGAGCAGTTTGGAAACACTCTGTTTGTAAAGTCTGCAAGTGGATATATGGACCGCATTGAGGCCTTCGTTGGAAACGGGATTTCTTCATTTCATGCTAGACAGAAGAATTCTCAGTAACTTCTTTGTGCTGTGTGTATTCAACTCACAGAGTGGAACGTCCCTTTACACAGAGCAGATTTGAAACACTCTTTTTGTGGAGTTTGCAAGTGGAGATTTCAAGCGATTTGATGCCAACAGTAGAAAAGGAAATATCTTCAAATAAAAACTAGACAGAATCATTCTCAGAAACTACTTTGTGATGTGTGCCTTCAACTCACAGAGTTTAACCTTTCTTTTCTTAGAGCAGTTTAGAAACACTCTGCTTGTTATGTCTGCAAGTGGATATTTGGACCTCTTTGAGGCCTTCGTT
The DNA here is from genome assembly GCF_000001405.40 of Homo sapiens. Lineage (NCBI taxonomy): Eukaryota > Metazoa > Chordata > Mammalia > Primates > Hominidae > Homo > Homo sapiens. The sequence goes on from NC_000007.14 coordinate 59,422,308, forward strand.
GCAAACGGGGTTTCTTCCTTTCATGCTAGACTAAGAAGAGTTCTCAGTAACTTTTTTGTGTTGTGTGTATTCAACTCACAGAGTTGAACCTTGCTTTAGAGAGAGCAGATTTGAAACACTCTTGCTGTGGCATTTTCAGGTGGAGATTTCAAGCGATTTGAGGACAATTGCAGAAAAGGAAATATCTTCGTATAATAACCAGACAGAATCATTCTCAGAAAGTGCTTTGTGATGTGTGCGTTCAACTCACAGAGTTTAACCTTTCTTTCCATAGAGGAGTTTGGAAACACACTGTTTGTAAAGTCTGCAAGTGGATATATGGACCTGTTTGAGGCCTTCGTTGGAAACGGGATTTCTTCATTGAATGCTAGACGGAAGAATTCTCAGTAAATTCTTTGTGTTGTGTGCATTCAACTCACAGAGTGGAACGTCCCTTTAGACAGAGCAGATTTGAAACACTCTTTTTGCGGAATTTGCAAGTGGAGATTTCTAGCCATTTGATGCCAACAGTAGAAAGGGAAATATCTTCAAATAAAAACCAGACAGAATCATTCTCAGAAAATTCTTTGTGATGTGTGGGTTCAACTCACATAGTTTAACCTTTCTTTTCATAGAGCAGTTTGGAAACACTCTGTTTGTAAAGTCTGCAAGTGGATATATGGACCGCATTGAGGCCTTCGTTGGAAACGGGATTTCTTCATTTCATGCGAGACAGAAGAATTCTCAGTAACTTCTTTGTGCTGTGTGTATTCAACTCACAGAGTGGAACGTCCCTTTACACAGAGCAGATTTGAAACACTCTTTTTGTGGAGTTTGCAAGTGGAGATTTCAAGCGATTTGATGCCAGCAGTAGAAAAGGAAATATCTTCAAATAAAAACTAGACAGAATCATTCTCAGAAACTACTTTGTGATGTGTGCCTTCAACTCACAGAGTTTAACCTTTCTTTTCTTAGAGCAGTTTAGAAACACTCTGCTTGTTATGTCTGCAAGTGGATATTTGGACCTCTTTGAGGCCTTCGTTGCAAACGGGGTTTCTTCCTTTCATGCTAGACTAAGAAGAGTTCTCAGTAACATTTTTGTGTTGTGTGTATTCAACTCACAGAGTTGAACCTTGCTTTAGAGAGAGCAGATTTGAAACACTCTTGCTGTGGCATTTTCAGGTGGAGATTTCAAGCGATTTGAGGACAATTGCAGAAAAGGAAATATCTTCGTATAACAACCAGACAGAATCATTCTCAGAAAGTGCTTTGTGATGTGTGCGTTCCACTCACAGAGTTTAACCTTTCTTTTCATAGAGGAGTTTGGAAACACACTGTTTGTAAAGTCTGCAAGTGGATATATGGACCTGTTTGAGGCCTTCGTTGGAAACGGGATTTCTTCATTGAATGCTAGACGGAAGAATTCTCAGTAAATTCTTTGTGTTGTGTGCATTCAACTCACAGAGTGGAACGTCCCTTTAGACAGAGCAGATTTGAAACACTCTTTTTGCGGAATTTGCAAGTGGAGATTTCTAGCCATTTGATGCCAACAGTAGAAAGGGAAATATCTTCAAATAAAAACCAGACAGAATCATTCTCAGAAAATTCTTTGTGATGTGTGCGTTCAACTCACATAGTTTAACCTTTCTTTTCATAGAGCAGTTTGGAAACACTCTGTTTGTAAAGTCTGCAAGTGGATATATGGACCGCATTGAGGCTTTCGTTGGAAACGGGATTTCTTCATTTCATGCTAGACAGAAGAATTCTCAGTAACTTCTTTGTGCTGTGTGTATTCAACTCACAGAGTGGAACGTCCCTTTGCACAGAGCAGATTTGAAACACTCTTTTTGTGGAGTTTGCAAGTGGAGATTTCAAGCGATTTGATGCCAACAGTAGAAAAGGAAATATCTTCAAATAAAAACTAGACAGAATCATTCTCAGAAACTACTTTGTGATGTGTGCCTTCAACTCACAGAGTTTAACCTTTCTTTTCTTAGAGCAGTTTAGAAACACTCTGCTTGTTATGTCTGCAAGTGGATATTTGGACCTCTTTGAGGCCTTCGTTGCAAACGGGGTTTCTTCCTTTCATGCTAGACTAAGAAGAGTTCTCAGTAACTTTTTTGTGTTGTGTGTATTCAACTCACAGAGTTGAACCTTGCTTTAGAGAGAGCAGATTTGAAACACTCTTGCTGTGGCATTTTCAGGTGGAGATTTCAAGCGATTTGAGGACAATTGCAGAAAAGGAAATATCTTCGTATAATAACCAGACAGAATCATTCTCAGAAAGTGCTTTGTGATGTGTGCGTTCCACTCACAGAGTTTAACCTTTCTTTTCATAGAGGAGTTTGGAAACACACTGTTTGTAAACTCTGCAAGTGGATATATGGACCTGTTTGAGGCCTTCGTTGGAAACGGGATTTCTTCATTGAATGCTAGACGGAAGAATTCTCAGTAAATTCTTTGTGTTGTGTGCATTCAACTCACAGAGTGGAACGTTCCTTTAGACAGAGCAGATTTGAAACACTCTTTTTGCGGAATTTGCAAGTGGAGATTTCTAGCCATTTGATGCCAACAGTAGAAAGGGAAATATCTTCAAATAAAAACCAGACAGAATCATTCTCAGAAAATTCTTTGTGATGTGTGCGTTCAACTCACATAGTTTAGCCTTTCTTTTCATAGAGCAGTTTGGAAACACTCTGTTTGTAAAGTCTGCAAGTGGATATATGGACCGCATTGAGGCCTTCGTTGGAAACGGGATTTCTTCATTTCATGCTAGACAGAAGAATTCTCAGTAACTTCTTTGTGCTGTGTGTATTCAACTCACAGAGTGGAACGTCCCTTTGCACAGAGCAGATTTGAAACACTCTTTTTGTGGAATTTGCAAGTGGAGATTTCAAGCGATTTGATGCCAACAGTAGAAAAGGAAATATCTTCAAATAAAAACTAGACAGAATCATTCTCAGAAACTACTTTGTGATGTGTGCCTTCAACTCACAGAGTTTAACCTTTCTTTTCTTAGAGCAGTTTAGAAACACTCTGCTTGTTATGTCTGCAAGTGGATATTTGGACCTCTTTGAGGCCTTCGTTGCAAACGGGGTTTCTTCCTTTAATGCTAGACTAAGAAGAGTTCTCAGTAACTTTTTTGTGTTGTGTGTATTCAACTCACAGAGTTGAACCTTGCTTTAGAGAGAGCAGATTTGAAACACTCTTGCTGTGGCATTTTCAGGTGGAGATTTCATGCGATTTGAGGACAATTGCAGAAAAGGAAATATCTTCGTATAATAACCAGACAGAATCATTCTCAGAAAGTGCTTTGTGTTGTGTGCGTTCAACTCACAGTGTTTAACCTTTCTTTTCATAGAGGAGTTTGGAAACACACTGTTTGTAAAGTCTGCAAGTGGATATATGGACCTGTTTGAGGCCTTCGTTGGAAACGGGATTTCTTCATTGAATGCTAGACGGAAGAATTCTCAGTAAATTCTTTGTGTTGTGTGCATTCAACTGACACAGTGGAACGTCCCTTTAGACAGAGCAGATTTGAAACACTCTTTTTGCGGAATTTGCAAGTGGAGATTTCTAGCCATTTGATGCCAACAGTAGAAAGGGAAACATCTTCAAATAAAAACCAGACAGAATCATTCTCAGAAAATTCTTTGTGATGTGTGCGTTCAACTCACATAGTTTAACCTTTCTTTTCATAGAGCAGTTTGGAAACACTCTGTTTGTAAAGTCTGCAAGTGGATATATGGACCGCATTGAGGCCTTCGTTGGAAACGGGATTTCTTCATTTCATGCTAGACAGAAGAATTCTCAGCAACTTCTTTGTGCTGTGTGTATTCAACTCACAGAGTGGAACGTCCCTTTACACAGAGCAGATTTGAAACACTCTTTTTGTGGAGTTTGCAAGTGGAGATTTCAAGCGATTTGATGCCAACAGTAGAAAAGGAAATATCTTCAAATAAAAACTAGACAGAATCATTCTCAGAAACTACTTTGTGATGTGTGCCTTCAACTCACAGAGTTTAACCTTTCTTTTCTTAGAGCAGTTTAGAAACACTCTGCTTGTTATGTCTGCAAGTGGATATTTGGACCTCTTTGAGGCCTTCGTTGCAAACGGGGTTTCTTCCTTTCATGCTAGACTAAGAAGAGTTCTCAGTAACTTTTTTGTGTTGTGTGTATTCAACTCACAGAGTTGAACCTTGCTTTAGAGAGAGCAGATTTGAAACACTCTTGCTGTGGCATTTTCAGGTGGAGATTTCAAGCGTTTTGAGGACAATTGCAGAAAAGGAAATATCTTCGTATAATAACCAGACAGAATCATTCTCAGAAAGTGCTTTGTGATGTGTGCGTTCCACTCACAGAGTTTAACCTTTCTTTTCATAGAGGAGTTTGGAAACACACTGTTTGTAAAGTCTGCAAGTGGATATATGGACCTGTTTGAGGCCTTGGTTGGAAACGGGATTTCTTCATTGAATGCTAGACGGAAGAATTCTCAGTAAATTCTTTGTGTTGTGTGCATTCAACTCACAGAGTGGAACGTCCCTTTAGACAGAGCAGATTTGAAACACTCTTTTTGCGGAATTTGCAAGTGGAGATTTCTAGCCATTTGATGCCAACAGTAGAAAGGGAAATATCTTCAAATAAAAACCAGACAGAATCATTCTCAGAAAATTCTTTGTGATGTGTGCGTTCAACTCACATAGTTTAACCTTTCTTTTCATAGAGCAGTTTGGAAACACTCTGTTTGTAAAGTCTGCAAGTGGATATATGGACCGCATTGAGGCCTTCGTTGGAAACGGGATTTCTTCATTTCATGCTAGACAGAAGAATTCTCAGTAACTTCTTTGTGCTGTGTGTATTCAACTCACAGAGTGGAACGTCCCTTTACACAGAGCAGATTTGAAACACTCTTTTTGTGGAGTTTGCAAGTGGAGATTTCAAGCGATTTGATGCCAACAGTAGAAAAGGAAATATCTTCAAATAAAAACTAGACAGAATCATTCTCAGAAACTACTTTGTGATGTGTGCCTTCAACTCACAGAGTTTAACCTTTCTTTTCTTAGAGCAGTTTAGAAACACTCTGCTTGTTATGTCTGCAAGTGGATATTTGGACCTCTTTGAGGCCTTCGTTGCAAACGGGGTTTCTTCCTTTCATGCTAGACTAAGAAGAGTTCTCAGTAACTTTTTTGTGTTGTGTGTATTCAACTCACAGAGTTGAACCTTGCTTTAGAGAGAGCAGATTTGAAACACTCTTGCTGTGGCATTTTCAGGTGGAGATTTCAAGCGATTTGAGGACAATTGCAGAAAAGGAAATATCTTCGTATAACAACCAGACAGAATCATTCTCAGAAAGTGCTTTGTGATGTGTGCGTTCAACTCACAGAGTTTAACCTTTCTTTTCATAGAGGAGTTTGGAAACACACTGTTTGTAAAGTCTGCAAGTGGATATATGGACCTGTTTGAGGCTTCGTTGGAAACGGGATTTCTTCATTGAATGCTAGACGGAAGAATTCTCAGTAAATTCTTTGTGTTGTGTGCATTCAACTCACCGAGTGGAACGTCCCTTTAGACAGACCAGATTAGAAACACTCTTTTTGCGGAATTTGCAATTGGAGAATTCTAGCCATTTGATGCCAACGGTAGAAAGGGAAATATCTTCAAATAAAAACTAGACAGAATCATTCTCAGAAAATTCTTTGTGATGTGTGCGTTCAACTCACATAGTTTAACCTTTCTTTTCATAGAGCAGTTTGGAAACACTCTGTTTGTAAAGTCTGCAAGTGGATATATGGACCGCATTGAGGCCTTCGTTGGAAACGGGATTTCTTCATTTCATGCTAGACAGAAGAATTCTCAGTAACTTCTTTGTGCTGTGTGTATTCAACTCACAGAGTGGAACGTCCCTTTACACAGAGCAGATTTGAAACACTCTTTTTGTGGAGTTTGCAAGTGGAGATTTCAAGCGATTTGATGCCAACAGTAGAAAAGGAAATATCTTCAAATAAAAACTAGACAGAATCATTCTCAGAAACTACTTTGTGATGTGTGCCTTCAACTCACAGAGTTTAACCTTTCTTTTCTTAGAGCAGTTTAGAAACACTCTGCTTGTTATGTCTGCAAGTGGATATTTGGACCTCTTTGAGGCCTTCGTTGCAAACGGGGTTTCTTCCTTTCATGCTAGACTAAGAAGAGTTCTCAGTAACTTTTTTGTGTTGTGTGTATTCAACTCACAGAGTTGAACCTTGCTTTAGAGAGAGCAGATTTGAAACACTCTTGCTGTGGAATTTTCAAGTGGAGATTTCAAGCGATTTGAGGACAATGGCAGAAAAGGAAATATCTTCGTATAATAACCAGACAGAATCATTCTCAGAAAGTGCTTTGTGATGTGTGCGTTCAACTCACAGAGTTTAACCTTTCTTTTCATAGAGGAGCTTGGAAACACACTGTTTGTAAAGTCTGCAATTGGATATATGGACCTGTTTGAGGCCTACCGTTGGAAACGGGATTTCTTCATTGAATGCTAGACGGAAGAATTCTCAGTAAATTCTTTGTGTTGTGTGCATTCAACTCACAGAGTGGAACGTCCCTTTAGACAGAGCAGATTTGAAACACTCTTTTTGCGGAATTTGCAAGTGGAGATTTCTAGCCATTTGATGCCAACAGTAGGAAGGGAAATATCTTCAAATAAAAACCAGACAGAATCATTCTCAGAAAATTCTTTGTGATGTGTGCGTTCAACTCACATAGTTTAACCTTTCTTTTCATAGAGCAGTTTGGAAACACTCTGTTTGTAAAGTCTGCAAGTGGATATATGGACCGCATTGAGGCCTTCGTTGGAAACGGGATTTCTTCATTTCATGCTAGACAGAAGAATTCTCAGTAACTTCTTTGTGCTGTGTGTATTCAACTCACAGAGTGGAACGTCCCTTTGCACAGAGCAGATTTGAAACACTCTTTGAAACACTCTTTTTGTGGAATTTGCAAGTGGAGATTTCAAGCGATTTGATGCCAACAGTAGAAAAGGAAATATCTTCAAATAAAAACTAGACAGAATCATTCTCAGAAAATTCTTTGTGATGTGTGCCTTCATCTCACAGAGTTTAACCTTTCTTTTCTTAGAGCAGTTTAGAAACACTCTGCTTGTTATGTCTGCAAGTGGATATTTGGACCTCTTTGATTCCTTCGTTGCAAACGGGGTTTCTTCCTTTCATGCTAGACTAAGAAGAGTTCTCAGTAACTTTTTTGTGTTGTGTGTATTCAACTCACAGAGTTGAACCTTGCTTTAGAGAGAGCAGATTTGAAACACTCTTGCTGTGGAATTTTCAGGTGGAGATTTCAAGCGATTTGAGGACAATTGCAGAAAAGGAAATATCTTCGTATAATAACCAGACAGAATCATTCTCAGAAAGTGCTTTGTGATGTGTGCGTTCAACTCACAGAGTTTAACCTTTCTTTTCTTAGAGGAGCTTGGAAACACACTGTTTGTAAAGTCTGCAATTGGATATATAGACCTGTTTGAGGCCTCCGTTGGAAACGGAATTTCTTCATTGAATGCTAGACGGAAGAATTCTCAGTAAATTCTTTGTGTTGTGTGCATTGAACTCACAGAGTGGAACGTCCCTTTAGACAGAGCAGATTTGAAACACTCTTTTTGCGGAATTTGCAAGTGGAGATTTCTAGCCATTTGATGTCAACAGTAGAAAGGGAAATATCTTCAAATAAAAACCAGACAGAATCATTCTCAGAAAATTCTTTGTGATGTGTGCGTTCAACTCACATAGTTTAACCTTTCTTTTCATAGAGCAGTTTGGAAACACTCTGTTTGTAAAGTCTGCAAGTGGATATATGGACCGCATTGAGGCCTTCGTTGGAAACGGGATTTCTTCATTTCATGCTAGACAGAAGAATTCTCAGTAACTTCTTTGTGCTGTGTGTATTCAACTCACAGAGTGGAACGTCCCTTTGCACAGAGCAGATTTGAAACACTCTTTTTGTGGAGTTTGCAAGTGGAGATTTCAAGCGATTTGATGCCAACAGTAGAAAAGGAAATATCTTCAAATAAAAACTAGACAGAATCATTCTCAGAAACTACTTTGTGATGTGTGCCTTCAACTCACAGAGTTTAACCTTTCTTTTCTTAGAGCAGTTTAGAAACACTCTGCTTGTTATGTCTGCAAGTGGATATTTGGACCTCTTTGAGGCCTTCGTTGCAAACGGGGTTTCTTCCTTTCATGCTAGACTAAGAAGAGTTCTCAGTAACTTTTTTGTGTTGTGTGTATTCAACTCACAGAGCTGAACCTTGCTTTAGAGAGAGCAGATTTGAAACACTCTTGCTGTGGCATTTTCAGGTGGAGATTTCAAGCGATTTGAGGACAATTGCAGAAAAGGAAATATCCTTCGTATAACAACCAGACAGAATCATTCTCAGAAAGTGCTTTGTGATGTGTGCGTTCCACTCACAGAGTTTAACCTTTCTTTTCATAGAGGAGTTTGGAAACACACTGTTTGTAAAGTCTGCAAGTGGATATATGGACCTCTTTGAGGCCTTCGTTGGAAACGGGATTTCTTCATTGAATGCTAGACGGAAGAATTCTCAGTAAATTCTTTGTGTTGTGTGCATTCAACTCACAGAGTGGAACGTCCCTTTAGACAGAGCAGATTTGAAACACTCTTTTTGCGGAATTTGCAAGTGGAGATTTCTAGCCATTTGATGCCAACAGTAGAAAGGGAAATATCTTCAAATAAAAACCAGACAGAATCATTCTCAGAAAATTCTTTGTGATGTGTGCGTTCAACTCACATAGTTTAACCTTTCTTTTCATAGAGCAGTTTGGAAACACTCTGTTTGTAAAGTCTGCAAGTGGATCTATGGACCGCATTGAGGCCTTCGTTGGAAACGGGATTTCTTCATTTCATGCTAGACAGAAGAATTCTCAGTAACTTCTTTGTGCTGTGTGTATTCAACTCACAGAGTGGAACGTCCCTTTGCACAGAGCAGATTTGAAACACTCTTTTTGTGGAGTTTGCAAGTGGAGATTTCAAGCGATTTGATGCCAACAGTAGAAAAGGAAATATCTTCAAATAAAAACTAGACAGAATCATTCTCAGAAACTACTTTGTGATGTGTGCCTTCAACTCACAGAGTTTAACCTTTCTTTTCTTAGAGCAGTTTAGAAACACTCTGCTTGTTATGTCTGCAAGTGGATATTTGGACCTACTTTGAGGCCTTCGTTGCAAACGGGGTTTCTTCCTTTCATGCTAGACTAAGAAGAGTTCTCAGTAACTTTTTTGTGTTGTGTGTATTCAACTCACAGAGTTGAACCTTGCTTTAGAGAGAGCAGATTTGAAACACTCTTGCTGTGGCATTTTCAGGTGGAGATTTCAAGCGATTTGAGGACAATTGCAGAAAAGGAAATATCTTCGTATAATAACCAGACAGAATCATTCTCAGAAAGTGCTTTGTGATGTGTGCGTTCCACTCACAGAGTTTAACCTTTCTTTTCATAGAGGAGTTTGGAAACACACTGTTTGTAAACTCTGCAAGTGGATATATGGACCTGTTTGAGGCCTTCGTTGGAAACGGGATTTCTTCATTGAATGCTAGACGGAAGAATTCTCAGTAAATTCTTTGTGTTGTGTGCATTCAACTCACAGAGTGGAACGTCCCTTTAGACAGAGCAGATTTGAAACACTCTTTTTGCGGAATTTGCAAGTGGAGATTTCTAGCCATTTGATGCCAACAGTAGAAAGGGAAATATCTTCAAATAAAAACCAGACAGAATCATTCTCAGAAAATTCTTTGTGATGTGTGCGTTCAACTCACATAGTTTAACCTTTCTTTTCATAGAGCAGTTTGGAAACACTCTGTTTGTAAAGTCTGCAAGTGGATATATGGACCGCATTGAGGCCTTCGTTGGAAACGGGATTTCTTCATTTCATGCTAGACAGAAGAATTCTCAGTAACTTCTTTGTGCTGTGTGTATTCAACTCACAGAGTGGAACGTCCCTTTACACAGAGCAGATTTGAAACACTCTTTTTGTGGAGTTTGCAAGTGGAGATTTCAAGCGACTTGATGCCAACAGTAGAAAAGGAAATATCTTCAAATAAAAACTAGACAGAATCATTCTCAGAAACTACTTTGTGATGTGTGCCTTCAACTCACAGAGTTTAACCTTTCTTTTCTTAGAGCAGTTTAGAAACACTCTGCTTGTTATGTCTGCAAGTGGATATTTGGACCTCTTTGAGGCCTTCGTTGCAAACGGGGTTTCTTCCTTTCATGCTAGACTAAGAAGAGTTCTCAGTAACTTTTTTGTGTTGTGTGTATTCAACTCACAGAGTTGAACCTTGCTTTAGAGAGAGCAGATTTGAAACACTCTTGCTGTGGCATTTTCAGGTGGAGATTTCAAGCGATTTGAGGACAATTGCAGAAAAGGAAATATCTTCGTATAATAACCAGACAGAATCATTCTCAGAAAGTGCTTTGTGATGTGTGCGTTCAACTCACAGAGTTTAACCTTTCTTTTCATAGAGGAGTTTGGAAACACACTGTTTGTAAAGACTGCAAGTGGATATATGGACCTGTTTGAGGCCTTCGTTGGAAACGGGATTTCTTCATTGAATGCTAGACGGAAGAATTCTCAGTAAATTCTTTGTGTTGTGTGCATTCAACTCACAGAGTGGAACGTCCCTTTAGACAGAGCAGATTTGAAACACTCTTTTTGCGGAATTTGCAAGTGGAGATTTCTAGCCATTTGATGCCAACAGTAGAAAGGGAAATATCTTCAAATAAAAACCAGACAGAATCATTCTCAGAAAATTCTTTGTGATGTGTGCGTTCAACTCACATAGTTTAACCTTTCTTTTCATAGAGCAGTTTGGAAACACTCTGTTTGTAAAGTCTGCAAGTGGATATATGGACCGCATTGAGGCCTTCGTTGGAAACGGGATTTCTTCATTTCATGCTAGACAGAAGAATTCTCAGTAACTTCTTTGTGCTGTGTGTATTCAACTCACAGAGTGGAACGTCCCTTTACACAGAGCAGATTTGAAACACTCTTTTTGTGGAGTTTGCAAGTGGAGATTTCAAGCGATTTGATGCCAACAGTAGAAAAGGAAATATCTTCAAATAAAAACTAGACAGAATCATTCTCAGAAACTACTTTGTGATGTGTGCCTTCAACTCACAGAGTTTAACCTTTCTTTTCTTAGAGCAGTTTAGAAACACTCTGCTTGTTATGTCTGCAAGTGGATATTTGGACCTCTTTGAGGCCTTCGTTGCAAACGGGGTTTCTTCCTTTAATGCTAGACTAAGAAGAGTTCTCAGTAACTTTTTTGTGTTGTGTGTATTCAACTCACAGAGTTGAACCTTGCTTTAGAGAGAGCAGATTTGAAACACTCTCGCTGTGGAATTTTCAGGTGGAGATTTCAAGCGATTTGAGGACAATTGCAGAAAAGGAAATATCTTCGTATAATAACCAGACAGAATCATTCTCAGAAAGTGCTTTGTGATGTGTGCGTTCAACTCACAGAGTTTAACCTTTCTTTTCATAGAGGAGTTTGGAAACACACTGTTTGTAAAGTCTGCAATTGGATATATGGACCTGTTTGAGGCCTTCGTTGGAAACGGGATTTCTTCATTGAATGCTAGACGGAAGAATTCTCAGTAAATTCTTTGTGTTGTGTGCATTCAACTCACAGAGTGGAACGTCCCTTTAGACAGAGCAGATTTGAAACACTCTTTTTGTGGAATTTGCAAGTGGAGATTTCTAGCCATTTGTTGCCAACAGTAGAAAGGGAAATATCTTCAAATAAAAACCAGACAGAATCATTCTCAGAAAATTCTTTGTGATGTGTGCGTTCAACTCACATAGTTTAACCTTTCTTTTCATAGAGCAGTTTGGAAACACTCTGTTTGTAAAGTCTGCAAGTGGATATATGGACCGCATTGAGGCCTTCGTTGGAAACGGGATTTCTTCATTTCATGCTAGACAGAAGAATTCTCAGTAACTTCTTTGTGCTGTGTGTATTCAACTCACAGAGTGGAACGTCCCTTTGCACAGAGCAGATTTTAAACACTCTTTTTGTGGAGTTTGCAAGTGGAGATTTCAAGCGATTTGATGCCAACAGTAGAAAAGGAAATATCTTCAAATAAAAACTAGACAGAATCATTCTCAGAAAATTCTTTGTGATGTGTGCGTTCAACTCACATAGTTTAACCTTTCTTTTCTTAGAGCAGTTTAGAAACACTCTGCTTGTTATGTCTGCAAGTGGATATTTGGACCTCTTTGAGGCCTTCGTTGCAAACGGGGTTTCTTCCTTTCATGCTAGACTAAGAAGAGTTCTCAGTAACTTTTTTGTGTTGTGTGTATTCAACTCACAGAGTTGAACCTTGCTTTAGAGAGAGCAGATTTGAAACACTCTTGCTGTGGTATTTTCAGGTGGAGATTTCAAGCGATTTGAGGACAATTGCAGAAAAGGAAATATCTTCGTATAACAACCAGACAGAATCATTCTCAGAAAGTGCTTTGTGTTGTGTGCGTTCAACTCACAGAGTTTAACCTTTCTTTTCATAGAGGAGTTTGGAAACACACTGTTTGTAAAGTCTGCAATTGGATATATGGACCTGTTTGAGGCCTTCGTTGGAAACGGGATTTCTTCATTGAATGCTAGACGGAAGAATTCTCAGTAAATTCTTTGTGTTGTGTGCATTCAACTCACAGAGTGGAACGTCCCTTTAGACAGAGCAGATTTGAAACACTCTTTTTGCGGAATTTGCAAGTGGAGATTTCTAGCCATTTGATGCCAACAGTAGAAAGGGAAATATCTTCAAATAAAAACCAGACAGAATCATTCTCAGAAAATTCTTTGTGATGTGTGCGTTCAACTCACATAGTTTAACCTTTCTTTTCATAGAGCAGTTTGGAAACACTCTGTTTGTAAAGTCTGCAAGTGGATATATGGACCGCATTGAGGCCTTCGTTGGAAACGGGATTTCTTCATTTCATGCTAGACAGAAGAATTCTCAGTAACTTCTTTGTGCTGTGTGTATTCAACTCACAGAGTGGAACGTCCCTTTGCACAGAGCAGATTTGAAACACTCTTTTTGTGGAATTTGCAAGTGGAGATTTCAAGCGATTTGATGCCAACAGTAGAAAAGGAAATATCTTCAAATAAAAACTAGACAGAATCATTCTCAGAAACTACTTTGTGATGTGTGCCTTCAACTCACAGAGTTTAACCTTTCTTTTCTTAGAGCAGTTTAGAAACACTCTGCTTGTTATGTCTGCAAGTGGATATTTGGACCTCTTTGAGGCCTTCGTTGCAAACGGGGTTTCTTCCTTTCATGCTAGACTAAGAAGAGTTCTCAGTAACTTTTTTGTGTTGTGTGTATTCAACTCACAGAGTTGAACCTTGCTTTAGAGAGAGCAGATTTGAAACACTCTTGCTGTGGCATTTTCAGGTGGAGATTTCAAGCGATTTGAGGACAATTGCAGAAAAGGAAATATCTTCGTATAACAACCAGACAGAATCATTCTCAGAAAGTGCTTTGTGATGTGTGCGTTCAACTCACAGAGTTTAACCTTTCTTTTCATAGAGGAGTTTGGAAACACACTGTTTGTAAAGTCTGCAATTGGATATATGGACCTGTTTGAGGCCTTCGTTGGAAACGGGATTTATTCATTGAATGCTAGACGGAAGAATTCTCAGTAAATTCTTTGTGTTGTGTGCATTCAACTCACAGAGTGGAACGTCCCTTTAGACAGAGCAGATTTGAAACACTCTTTTTGCGGAATTTGCAAGTGGAGATTTCTAGCCATTTGATGCCAACAGTAGAAAGGGAAATATCTTCAAATAAAAACCAGACAGAATCATTCTCAGAAAATTCTTTGTGATGTGTGCGTTCAACTCACATAGTTTAACCTTTCTTTTCATAGAGCAGTTTGGAAACACTCTGTTTGTAAAGTCTGCAAGTGGATATATGGACCGCATTGAGGCCTTCGTTGGAAACGGGATTTCTTCATTTCATGCTAGACAGAAGAATTCTCAGCAACTTCTTTGTGCTGTGTGTATTCAACTCACAGAGTGGAACGTCCCTTTACACAGAGCAGATTTGAAACACTCTTTTTGTGGAGTTTGCAAGTGAAGATTTCAAGCGATTTGATGCCAACAGTAGAAAAGGAAATATCTTCAAATAAAAACTAGACAGAATCATTCTAAGAAACTACTTTGTGATGTGTGCCTTCAACTCACAGAGTTTAACCTTTCTTTTCTTAGAGCAGTTTAGAAACACTCTGCTTGTTATGTCTGCAAGTGGAAATTTGGACCTCTTTGAGGCCTTCGTTGCAAACGGGGTTTCTTCCTTTCATGCTAGACTAAGAAGAGTTCTCAGTAACTTTTTTGTGTTGTGTGTATTCAACTCACAGAGTTGAACCTTGCTTTAGAGAGAGCAGATTTGAAACACTCTTGCTGTGGCATTTTCAGGTGGAGATTTCAAGCGATTTGAGGACAATTGCAGAAAAGGAAATATCTTCGTATAATAACCAGACAGAATCATTCTCAGAAAGTGCTTTGTGATGTGTGCGTTCAACTCACAGAGTTTAACCTTTCTTTTCATAGAGGAGTTTGGAAACACACTGTTTGTAAAGTCTGCAATTGGATATATGGACCTGTTTGAGGCCTTCGTTGGAAACGGGATTTCTTCATTGACTGCTAGACGGAAGAATTCTCAGTAAATTCTTTATGTTGTGTGCATTCAACTCACAGAGTGGAACGTCCCTTTAGACAGAGCAGATTTGAAACACTCTTTTTGCGGAATTTGCAAGTGGAGATTTCTAGCCATTTGATGCCAACAGTAGAAAGGGAAATATCTTCAAATAAAAACCAGACAGAATCATTCTCAGAAAATTCTTTGTGATGTGTGCGTTCAACTCACATAGTTTAACCTTTCTTTTCATAGAGCAGTTTGGAAACACTCTGTTTGTAAAGTCTGCAAGTGGATATATGGACCGCATTGAGGCCTTCGTTGGAAACGGGATTTCTTCATTTCATGCTAGACAGAAGAATTCTCAGTAACTTCTTTGTGCTGTGTGTATTCAACTCACAGAGTGGAACGTCCCTTTGCACAGAGCAGATTTGAAACACTCTTTTTGTGGAGTTTGCAAGTGGAGATTTCAAGCGATTTGATGCCAACAGTAGAAAAGGAAATATCTTCAAATAAAAACTAGACAGAATCATTCTCAGAAACTACTTTGTGATGTGTGCCTTCAACTCACAGAGTTTAACCTTTCTTTTCTTAGAGCAGTTTAGAAACACTCTGCTTGTTATGTCTGCAAGTGGATATTTGGACCTCTTTGAGGCCTTCGTTGCAAACGGGGTTTCTTCCTTTCATGCTAGACTAAGAAGAGTTCTCAGTAACTTTTTTGTGTTGTGTGTATTCAACTCACAGAGCTGAACCTTGCTTTAGAGAGAGCAGATTTGAAACACTCTTGCTGTGGCATTTTCAGGTGGAGATTTCAAGCGATTTGAGGACAATTTCAGAAAAGGAAATATCTTCGTATAACAACCAGACAGAATCATTCTCAGAAAGTGCTTTGTGATGTTTGCGTTCAACTCACAGAGTTTAACCTTTCTTTTCATAGAGGAGTTTGGAAACACACTGTTTGTAAAGTCTGCAATTGGATATATGGACCTGTTTGAGGCCTTCGTTGGAAACGGGATTTCTTCATTGAATGCTAGACGGAAGAATTCTCAGTAAATACTTTGTGTTGTGTGCATTCAACTGACAGAGTGGAACGTCCCTTTAGACAGAGCAGATTTGAAACACTCTTTTTGCGGAATTTGCAAGTGGAGATTTCTAGCCATTTGATGCCAACAGTAGAAAGGGAAATATCTTCAAATAAAAACCAGACAGAATCATTCTCAGAAAATTCTTTGTGATGTGTGCGTTCAACTCACATAGTTTAACCTTTCTTTTCATAGAGCAGTTTGGAAACACTCTGTTTGTAATGTCTGCAAGTGGATATATGGACCGCATTGAGGCCTTCGTTGGAAACGGGATTTCTTCATTTCATGCTAGACAGAAGAATTCTCAGTAACTTCTTTGTGCTGTGTGTATTCAACTCACAGAGTGGAACGTCCCTTTACACAGAGCAGATTTGAAACACTCTTTTTGTGGAGTTTGCAAGTGGAGATTTCAAGCGATTTGATGCCAACAGTACAAAAGGAAATATCTTCAAATAAAAACTAGACAGAATCATTCTCAGAAACTACTTTGTGATGTGTGCCTTCAAATCACAGAGTTTAACCTTTATTTTCTTAGAGCAGTTTAGAAACACTCTGCTTGTTATGTCTGCAAGTTGATATTTGGACCTCTTTGAGGCCTTCGTTGCAAACGGGGTTTCTTCCTTTAATGCTAGACTAAGAAGAGTTCTCAGTAACTTTTTTGTGTTGTGTGTATTCAACTCACAGAGTTGAACCTTGCTTTAGAGAGAGCAGATTTGAAACACTCTTGCTGTGGCATTTTCAGGTGGAGATTTCAAGCGATTTGAGGACAATTGCAGAAAAGGAAATATCTTCGTATAATAACCAGACAGAATCATTCTCAGAAAGTGCTTTGTGATGTGTGCGTTCCACTCACAGAGTTTAACCTTTCTTTTCATAGAGGAGTTTGGAAACACACTGTTTGTAAAGTCTGCAAGTGGATATATGGACCTGTTTGAGGCCTTCGTTGGAAACGGGATTTCTTCATTGAATGCTAGACGGAAGAATTCTCAGTAAATTCTTTGTGTTGTGTGCATTCAACTCACAGAGTGGAACGTCCCTTTAGACAGAGCAGATTTGAAACACTCTTTTTGCGGAATTTGCAAGTGGAGATTTCTAGCCATTTGATGCCAACAGTAGAAAGGGAAATATCTTCAAATAAAAACCAGGCAGAATCATTCTCAGAAAATTCTTTGTGATGTGTGCGTTCAACTCACATAGTTTAACCTTTCTTTTCATAGAGCAGTTTGGAAACACTCTGTTTGTAAAGTCTGCAAGTGGATATATGGACCGCATTGAGGCCTTCGTTGGAAACGGGATTTCTTCATTTCATGCTAGACAGAAGAATTCTCAGTAACTTCTTTGTGCTGTGTGTATTCAACTCACAGAGTGGAACGTCCCTTTGCACAGAGCAGATTTGAAACACTCTTTTTGTGGAATTTGCAAGTGGAGATTTCAAGCGATTTGATGCCAACAGTAGAAAAGGAAATATCTTCAAATAAAAACTAGACAGAATCATTCTCAGAAACTACTTTGTGATGTGTGCCTTCAACTCACAGAGTTTAACCTTTCTTTTCTTAGAGCAGTTTAGAAACACTCTGCTTGTTATGTCTGCAAGTGGATATTTGGACCTCTTTGAGGCCTTCGTTGCAAACGGGGTTTCTTCCTTTCATGCTAGACTAAGAAGAGTTCTCAGTAACTTTTTTGTGTTGTGTGTATTCAACTCACAGAGTTGAACCTTGCTTTAGAGAGAGCAGATTTGAAACACTCTTGCTGTGGCATTTTCAGGTGGAGATTTCAAGCGATTTGAGGACAATTGCAGAAAAGGAAATATCTTCGTATAACAACCAGACAGAATCATTCTCAGAAAGTGCTTTGTGATGTGTGCGTTCAACTCACAGAGTTTAACCTTTCTTTTCATAGAGGAGTTTGGAAACACACTGTTTGTAAAGTCTGCAATTGGATATATGGACCTGTTTGAGGCCTTCGTTGGAAACGGGATTTCTTCATTGCATGCTAGACGGAAGAATTCTCAGTAAATTCTTTGTGTTGTGTGCATTCAACTGACAGAGTGGAACTGTCCCTTTAGACAGAGCAGATTTGAAACACTCTTTTTGCGGAATTTGCAAGTGGAGATTTCTAGCCATTTGATGCCAACAGTAGAAAGGGAAATATCTTCAAATAAAAACCAGACAGAATCATTCTCAGAAAATTCTTTGTGATGTGTGCGTTCAACTCACATAGTTTAACCTTTCTTTTCATAGAGCAGTTTGGAAACACTCTGTTTGTAAAGTCTGCAAGTGGATATATGGACCGCATTGAGGCCTTCGTTGGAAACGGGATTTCTTCATTTCATGCTAGACAGAAGAATTCTCAGTAACTTCTTTGTGCTGTGTGTATTCAACTCACAGAGTGGAACGTCCCTTTGCACAGAGCAGATTTGAAACACTCTTTTTGTGGAGTTTGCAAGTGGAGATTTCAAGCGATTTGATGCCAACAGTAGAAAAGGAAATATCTTCAAATAAAAACTAGACAGAATCATTCTCAGAAACTACTTTGTGATGTGTGCCTTCAACTCACAGAGTTTCACCTTTCTTTTCTTAGAGCAGTTTAGAAACACTCTGCTTGTTATGTCTGCAAGTGGATATTTGGACCTCTTTGAGGCCTTCGTTGCAAACGGGGTTTCTTCCTTTCATGCTAGACTAAGAAGAGTTCTCAGTAACTTTTTTGTGTTGTGTGTATTCAACTCACAGAGTTGAACCTTGCTTTAGAGAGAGCAGATTTGAAACACTCTTGCTGTGGCATTTTCAGGTGGAGATTTCAAGCGATTTGAGGACAATTGCAGAAAAGGAAATATCTTCGTATAATAACCAGACAGAATCATTCTCAGAAAGTGCTTTGTGATGTGTGCGTTCCACTCACAGAGTTTAACCTTTCTTTTCATAGAGGAGTTTGGAAACACACTGTTTGTAAAGTCTGCAAGTGGATATATGGACCTGTTTGAGGCCTTCGTTGGAAACGGGATTTCTTCATTGAATGCTAGACGGAAGAATTCTCAGTAAATTCTTTGTGTTGTGTGCATTCAACTCACAGAGTGGAACGTCCCTTTAGACAGAGCAGATTTGAAACACTCTTTTTGCGGAATTTGCAAGTGGAGATTTCTAGCCATTTGATGCCAACAGTAGAAAGGGAAATATCTTCAAATGAAAACCAGACAGAATCATTCTCAGAAAATTCTTTGTGATGTGTGCGTTCAACTCACATAGTTTAACCTTTCTTTTCATAGAGCAGTTTGGAAACACTCTGTTTGTAAAGTCTGCAAGTGGATATATGGACCGCATTGAGGCCTTCGTTGGAAACGGGATTTCTTCATTTCATGCTAGACAGAAGAATTCTCAGTAACTTCTTTGTGCTGTGTGTATTCAACTCACAGAGTGGAACGTCCCTTTGCACAGAGCGGATTTGAAACACTCTTTTTGTGGAGTTTGCAAGTGGAGATTTCAAGCGATTTGATGCCAACAGTAGAAAAGGAAATATCTTCAAATAAAAACTAGACAGAATCATTCTCAAAAACTACTTTGTGATGTGTGCCTTCAACTCACAGAGTTTAACCTTTCTTTTCTTAGAGCAGTTTAGAAACACTCTGCTTGTTATGTCTGCAAGTGGATATTTGGACCTCTTTGAGGCCTTCGTTGCAAACGGGGTTTCTTCCTTTCATGCTAGACTAAGAAGAGTTCTCAGTAACTTTTTTGTGTTGTGTGTATTCAACTCACAGAGTTGAACCTTGCTTTAGAGAGAGCAGATTTGAAACACTCTTGCTGTGGCCTTTTCAGGTGGAGATTTCAAGCGATTTGAGGACAATTGCAGAAAAGGAAATATCTTCGTATAATAACCAGACAGAATCATTCTCAGAAAGTGCTTTGTGATGTGTGCGTTCAACTCACAGAGTTAAACCTTTCTTTTCATAGAGGAGTTTGGAAACACACTGTTTGTAAAGTCTGCAATTGGATATATGGACCTGTTTGAGGCCTTCGTTGGAAACGGGATTTCTTCATTGAATGCTAGACGGAAGAATTCTCAGTAAATTCTTTGTGTTGTGTGCATTCAACTCACAGAGTGGAACGTCCCTTTAGACAGAGCAGATTTGAAACACTCTTTTTGCGGAATTTGCAAGTGGAGATTTCTAGCCATTTGATGCCAACAGTAGAAAGGGAAATATCTTCAAATAAAAACCAGACAGAATCATTCTCAGAAAATTCTTTGTGATGTGTGCGTTCAACTCACATAGTTTAACCTTTCTTTTCATAGAGCAGTTTGGAAACACTCTGTTTGTAAAGTCTGCAAGTGGATATATGGACCGCATTGAGGCCTTCGTTGGAAACGGGATTTCTTCATTTCATGCTAGACAGAAGAATTCTCAGTAACTTCTTTGTGCTGTGTGTATTCAACTCACAGAGTGGAACGTCCCTTTACACAGAGCAGATTTGAAACACTCTTTTTGTGGAGTTTGCAAGTGGAGATTTCAAGCGATTTGATGCCAACAGTAGAAAAGGAAATATCTTCAAATAAAAACTAGACAGAATCATTCTCAGAAACTACTTTGTGATGTGTGCCTTCAACTCACAGAGTTTAACCTTTCTTTTCTTAGAGCAGTTTAGAAACACTCTGCTTGTTATGTCTGCAAGTGGATATTTGGACCTCTTTGAGGCCTTCGTTGCAAACGGGGTTTCTTCCTTTCATGCTAGACTAAGAAGAGTTCTCAGTAACTTTTTTGTGTTGTGTGTATTCAACTCACAGAGTTGAACCTTGCTTTAGAGAGAGCAGATTTGAAACACTCTTGCTGTGGCATTTTCAGGTGGAGATTTCAAGCGATTTGAGGACAATTGCAGAAAAGGAAATATCTTCGTATAATAACCAGACAGAATCATTCTCAGAAAGTGCTTTGTGATGTGTGCGTTCAACTCACAGAGTTTAACCTTTCTTTTCATAGAGCAGTTTGGAAACACACTGTTTGTAAAGTCTGCAATTGGATATATGGACCTGTTTGAGGCCTTCGTTGGAAACGGGATTTCTTCATTGAATGCTAGACGGAAGAATTCTCAGTAAATTCTTTGTGTTGTGTGCATTCAACTCACAGAGTGGAACGTCCCTTTAGACAGAGCAGATTTGAAACACTCTTTTTGCGGAATTTGCAAGTGGAGATTTCTAGCCATTTGATGCCAACAGTAGAAAGGGAAATATCTTCAAATAAAAACCAGACAGAATCATTCTCAGAAAATTCTTTGTGATGTGTGCGTTCAACTCACATAGTTTAACCTTTCTTTTCATAGAGCAGTTTGGAAACACTCTGTTTGTAAAGTCTGCAAGTGGATATATGGACCGCATTGAGGCCTTCGTTGGAAACGGGATTTCTTCATTTCATGCTAGACAGAAGAATTCTCAGTAACTTCTTTGTGCTGTGTGTATTCAACTCACAGAGTGGAACGTCCCTTTGCACAGAGCAGATTTGAAACACTCTTTTTGTGGAATTTGCAAGTGGAGATTTCAAGCGATTTGATGCCAACAGTAGAAAAGGAAATATCTTCAAATAAAAACTAGACAGAATCATTCTCAGAAACTACTTTGTGATGTGTGCCTTCAACTCACAGAGTTTAACCTTTCTTTTCTTAGAGCAGTTTAGAAACACTCTGCTTGTTATGTCTGCAAGTGGATATTTGGACCTCTTTGAGGCCTTCGTTGCAAACGGGGTTTCTTCCTTTCATGCTAGACTAAGAAGAGTTCTCAGTAACTTTTTTGTGTTGTGTGTATTCAACTCACAGAGTTGAACCTTGCTTTAGAGAGAGCAGATTTGAAACACTCTTGCTGTGGCATTTTCAGGTGGAGATTTCAAGCGATTTGAGGACAATTGCAGAAAAGGAAATATCTTCGTATAATAACCAGACAGAATCATTCTCAGAAAGTGCTTTGTGATGTGTGCGTTCAACTCACAGAGTTTAACCTTTCTTTTCATAGAGGAGTTTGGAAACACACTGTTTGTAAACTCTGCAATTGGATATATGGACCTGTTTGAGGCCTTCGTTGGAAACGGGATTTCTTCATTGAATGCTAGACGGAAGAATTCTCAGTAAATTCTTTGTGTTGTGTGAATTCAACTGACAGAGTGGAACGTCCCTTTAGACAGAGCAGATTTGAAACACTCTTTTTGCGGAATTTGCAAGTGGAGATTTCTAGCCATTTGATGCCAACAGTAGAAAGGGAAATATCTTCAAATAAAAACCAGACAGAATCATTCTCAGAAAATTCTTTGTGATGTGTGCGTTCAACTCACATAGTTTAACCTTTCTTTTCATAGAGCAGTTTGGAAACACTCTGTTTGTAAAGTCTGCAAGTGGATATATGGACCGCATTGAGGCCTTCGTTGGAAACGGGATTTCTTCATTTCATGCTAGACAGAAGAATTCTCAGTAACTTCTTTGTGCTGTGTGTATTCAACTCACAGAGTGGAACGTCCCTTTACACAGAGCAGATTTGAAACACTCTTTTTGTGGAGTTTGCAAGTGGAGATTTCAAGCGATTTGATGCCAACAGTAGAAAAGGAAATATCTTCAAATAAAAACTAGACAGAATCATTCTCAGAAACTACTTTGTGATGTGTGCCTTCAACTCACAGAGTTTAACCTTTCTTTTCATAGAGCAGTTTAGAAACACTCTGCTTGTTATGTCTGCAAGTGGATATTTGGACCTCTTTGAGGCCTTCGTTGCAAACGGGGTTTCTTCCTTTAATGCTAGACTAAAGAGTTCTCAGTAACTTTTTTGTGTTGTGTGTATTCAACTCACAGAGTTGAACCTTGCTTTAGAGAGAGCAGATTTGAAACACTCTTGCTGTGGCATTTGCAGGTGGAGATTTCAAGCGATTTGAGGACAATTGCAGAAAAGGAAATATCTTCGTATAACAACCAGACAGAATCATTCTCAGAAAGTGCTTTGTGATGTGTGCGTTCAACTCACAGAGTTTAACCTTTCTTTTCATAGAGGAGTTTGGAAACACACTGTTTGTAAAGTCTGCAATTGGATATATGGACCTGTTTGAGGCCTTCGTTGGAAACGGGATTTCTTCATTGAATGCTCGACGGAAGAATTCTCAGTAAATTCTTTGTGTTGTGTGCATTCAACTCACAGAGTGGAACGTCCCTTTAGACAGAGCAGATTTGAAACACTCTTTTTGCGGAATTTGCAAGTGGAGATTTCTAGCCATTTGATGCCAACAGTAGAAAGGGAAATATCTTCAAATAAAAACCAGACAGAATCATTCTCAGAAAATTCTTTGTGATGTGTGCCTTCAACTCACAGAGTTTAACCTTTCTTTTCTTAGAGCAGTTTAGAAACACTCTGCTTGTTATGTCTGCAAGTGGATATTTTTACCTCTTTGAGGCCTTCGTTGCAAACGGGGTTTTTTCCTTTAATGCTAGACTAAGAAGAGTTCTCAGTAACTTTTTTGTGTTGTGTGTATTCAACTCACAGAGTTGAACCTTGCTTTAGAGAGAGCAGATTTGAAACACTCTTGCTGTGGCATTTTCAGGTGGAGATTTCAAGCGATTTGAGGACAATTGCAGAAAAGGAAATATCTTCGTATAATAACCAGACAGAATCATTCTCAGAAAGTGCTTTGTGATGTGTGCGTTCAACTCACAGAGTTTAACCTTTCTTTTCATAGAGGAGTTTGGAAACACACTGTTTGTAAAGTCTGCAATTGGATATATGGACCTGTTTGAGGCCTTCGTTGGAAACGGGATTTCTTCATTGCATGCTAGACGGAAGAATTCTCAGTAAATTCTTTGTGTTGTGTGCATTCAACTCACAGAGTGGAACGTCCCTTTAGACAGAGCAGATTTGAAACACTCTTTTTGCGGAATTTGCAAGTGGAGATTTCTAGCCATTTGATGCCAACAGTAGAAAAGGAAATATCTTCAAATAAAAACTAGACAGAATCATTCTCAGAAAATTCTTTGTGATGTGTGCATTCAACTCACATAGTTTAACCTTTCTTTTCATAGAGCAGTTTGGAAACACTCTGTTTGTAAAGTCTGCAAGTGGATATATGGACCGCATTGAGGCCTTCGTTGGAAACGGGATTTCTTCATTTCATGCTAGACAGAAGAATTCTCAGTAACTTCTTTGTGCTGTGTGTATTCAACTCACAGAGTGGAACGTCCCTTTACACAGAGCAGATTTGAAACACTCTTTTTGTGGAGTTTGCAAGTGGAGATTTCAAGCGATTTGATGCCAACAGTAGAAAAGGAAATATCTTCAAATAAAAACTAGACAGAATCATTCTCAGAAACTACTTTGTGATGTGTGCCTTCAACTCACAGAGTTTAACCTTTCTTTTCATAGAGCAGTTTAGAAACACTCTGCTTGTTATGTCTGCAAGTGGATATTTGGACCTCTTTGAGGCCTTCGTTGCAAACGGGGTTTCTTCCTTTCATGCTAGACTAAGAAGAGTTCTCAGTAACTTTTTTGTGTTGTGTGTATTCAACTCACAGAGTTGAACCTTGCTTTAGAGAGAGCAGATTTGAAACACTCTTGCTGTGGCATTTTCAGGTGGAGATTTCAAGCGTTTTGAGGACAATTGCAGAAAAGGAAATATCTTCGTATAATAACCAGACAGAATCATTCTCAGAAAGTGCTTTGTGATGTGTGCGTTCCACTCACAGAGTTTAACCTTTCTTTTCATAGAGGAGTTTGGAAACACACTGTTTGTAAACTCTGCAAGTGGATGTATGGACCTGTTTGAGGCCTTCGTTGGAAACGGGATTTCTTCATTGAATGCTAGACGGAAGAATTCTCAGTAAATTCTTTGTGTTGTGTGCATTCAACTCACAGAGTGGAACGTCCCTTTAGACAGAGCAGATTTGAAACACTCTTTTTGCGGAATTTGCAAGTGGAGATTTCTAGCCATTTGATGCCAACAGTAGAAAGGGAAATATCTTCAAATAAAAACCAGACAGAATCATTCTCAGAAAATTCTTTGTGATGTGTGCGTTCAACTCACATAGTTTAACCTTTCTTTTCATAGAGCAGTTTGGAAACACTCTGTTTGTAAAGTCTGCAAATGGATATATGGACCGTATTGAGGCCTTCGTTGGAAACGGGATTTCTTCATTTCATGCTAGACAGAAGAATTCTCAGTAACTTCTTTGTGCTGTGTGTATTCAACTCACAGAGTGGAACGTCCCTTTGCACAGAGCAGATTTGAAACACTCTTTTTGTGGAGTTTGCAAGTGGAGATTTCAAGTGATTTGATGCCAACAGTAGAAAAGGAAATATCTTCAAATAAAAACTAGACAGAATCATTCTCAGAAACTACTTTGTGATGTGTGCCTTCAACTCACAGAGTTTAACCTTTCTTTTCTTAGAGCAGTTTAGAAACACTCTGCTTGTTATGTCTGCAAGTGGATATTTGGACCTCTTTGAGGCCTTCGTTGCAAACGGGGTTTCTTCCTTTAATGCTAGACTAAGAAGAGTTCTCAGTAACTTTTTTGTGTTGTGTGTATTCAACTCACAGAGCTGAACCTTGCTTTAGAGAGAGCAGATTTGAAACACTCTTGCTGTGGCATTTTCAGGTGGAGATTTCAAGCGATTTGAGGACAATTGCAGAAAAGGAAATATCTTCGTATAACAACCAGACAGAATCATTCTCAGAAAGTGCTTTGTGATGTGTGCGTTCAACTCACAGAGTTTAACCTTTCTTTTCATAGAGGAGTTTGGAAACACACTGTTTGTAAAGTCTGCAATTGGATATATGGACCTGTTTGAGGCCTTCGTTGGAAACGGGATTTCTTCATTGCATGCTAGACGGAAGAATTCTCAGTAAATACTTTGTGTTGTGTGCATTCAACTGACAGAGTGGAACGTCCCTTTAGACAGAGCAGATTTGAAACACTCTTTTTGCGGAATTTGCAAGTGGAGATTTCTAGCCATTTGATGCCAACAGTAGAAAGGGAAATATCTTCAAATAAAAACCAGACAGAATCATTCTCAGAAAATTCTTTGTGATGTGTGCGTTCAACTCAAATAGTTTAACCTTTCTTTTCATAGAGCAGTTTGGAAACACTCTGTTTGTAAAGTCTGCAAGTGGATATATGGACCGCATTGAGGCCTTCGTTGGAAACGGGATTTCTTCATTTCATGCTAGACAGAAGAATTCTCAGTAACTTCTTTGTGCTGTGTGTATTCAACTCACAGAGTTGAACCTTGCTTTAGAGAGAGCAGATTTGAAACACTCTTGCTGTGGCATTTTCAGGTGGAGATTTCAAGCGATTTGAGGACAATTGCAGAAAAGGAAATATCTTCAAATAATAACCAGACAGAATCATTCTCAGAAAGTGCTTTGTGATGTGTGCGTTCCACTCACAGAGTTTAACCTTTCTTTTCATAGAGGAGTTTGGAAACACACTGTTTGTAAAGTCTGCAAGTGGATATATGGACCTGTTTGAGGCCTTCGTTGGAAACGGGATTTCTTCATTGAATGCTAGACGGAAGAATTCTCAGTAAATTCTTTGTGTTGTGTGCATTCAACTCACAGAGTGGAACGTCCCTTTAGACAGAGCAGATTTGAAACACTCTTTTTGCGGAATTTGCAAGTGGAGATTTCTAGCCATTTGATGCCAACAGTAGAAAGGGAAATATCTTCAAATAAAAACCAGACAGAATCATTCTCAGAAAATTCATTGTGATGTGTGCGTTCAACTCACATAGTTTAACCTTTCTTTTCATAGAGCAGTTTGGAAACACTCTGTTTGTAAAGTCTGCAAGTGGATATATGGACCGCATTGAGGCCTTCGTTGGAAACGGGATTTCTTCATTTCATGCTAGACAGAAGAATTCTCAGTAACTTCTTTGTGCTGTGTGTATTCAACTCACAGAGTGGAACGTCCCTTTGCACAGAGCGGATTTGAAACACTCTTTTTGTGGAGTTTGCAAGTGGAGATTTCAAGCGATTTGATGCCAACAGTAGAAAAGGAAATATCTTCAAATAAAAACTAGACAGAATCATTCTCAGAAACTACTTTGTGATGTGTGCCTTCAACTCACAGAGTTTAACCTTTCTTTTCTTAGAGCAGTTTAGAAACACTCTGCTTGTTATGTCTGCAAGTGGATATTTGGACCTCTTTGAGGCCTTCGTTGCAAACGGGGTTTCTTCCTTTCATGCTAGACTAAGAAGAGTTCTCAGTAACTTTTTTGTGTTGTGTGTATTCAACTCACAGAGTTGAACCTTGCTTTAGAGAGAGCAGATTTGAAACACTCTTGCTGTGGCATTTTCAGGTGGAGATTTCAAGCGATTTGAGGACAATTGCAGAAAAGGAAATATCTTCGTATAATAACCAGACAGAATCATTCTCAGAAAGTGCTTTGTGATGTGTGCGTTCAACTCACAGAGTTTAACCTTTCTTTTCATAGAGGAGTTTGGAAACACACTGTTTGTAAAGTCTGCAAGTGGATATATGGACCTGTTTGAGGCCTTCGTTGGAAACGGGATTTCTTCATTGAATGCTAGACGGAAGAATTCTCAGTAAATTCTTTGTGTTGTGTGCATTCAACTCACAGAGTGGAACGTCCCTTTAGACAGAGCAGATTTGAAACACTCTTTTTGCGGAATTTGCAAGTGGAGATTTCTAGCCATTTGATGCCAACAGTAGAAAGGGAAATATCTTCAAATAAAAACCAGACAGAATCATTCTCAGAAAATTCTTTGTGATGTGTGCGTTCAAATCACATAGTTTAACCTTTCTTTTCATAGAGCAGTTTGAAAACACTCTGTTTGTAAAGTCTGCAAGTGGATATATGGACCGCATTGAGGCGTTCGTTGGAAACGGGATTTCTCCATTTCATGCTAGACAGAAGAATTCTCAGTAACTTCTTTGTGCTGTGTGTATTCAACTCACAGAGTGGAACGTCCCTTTGCACAGAGCAGATTTGAAACACTCTTTTTGTGGAGTTTGCAAGTGGAGATTTCAAGCGATTTGATGCCAACAGTAGAAAAGGAAATATCTTCAAATAAAAACTAGACAGAATCATTCTCAGAAACTACTTTGTGATGTGTGCCTTCAACTCACAGAGTTTAACCTTTCTTTTCTTAGAGCAGTTTAGAAACACTCTGCTTGTTATGTCTGCAAGTGGATATTTGGACCTCTTTGAGGCCTTCGTTGCAAACGGCGTTTCTTCCTTTAATGCTAGACTAAGAAGAGTTCTCAGTAACTTTTTTGTGTTGTGTGTATTCAACTCACAGAGTTGAACCTTGCTTTAGAGAGAGCAGATTTGAAACACTCTTGCTGTGGCATTTTCAGGTGGAGATTTCAAGCGATTTGAGGACAATTGCAGAAAAGGAAATATCTTCGTATAATAACCAGAGAGAATCATTCTCACAAAGTGCTTTGTGATGTGTGCGTTCAACTCACAGAGTTTAACCTTTCTTTTCATAGAGGAGTTTGGAAACACACTGTTTGTAAAGTCTGCAATTGGATATATGGACCTGTTTGAGGCCTTCTTTGGAAACGGGATTTCTTCATTGAATGCTAGACGGAAGAATTCTCAGTAAATTCTTTGTGTTGTGTGCATTCAACTCACAGAGTGGAACGTCCCTTTAGACAGAGCAGATTTGAAACACTCTTTTTGCGGAATTTGCAAGTGGAGATTTCTAGCCATTTGATGGCCAACAGTAGAAAGGGAAATATCTTCAAATAAAAACCAGACAGAATCATTCTCAGAAAATTCTTTGTGATGTGTGCGTTCAACTCACATAGTTTAACCTTTCTTTTCATAGAGCAGTTTGGAAACACTCTGTTTGTAAAGTCTGCAAGTGGATATATGGACCGCATTGAGGCCTTCGTTGGAAACGGGATTTCTTCATTTCATGCTAGACAGAAGAATTCTCAGTAACTTCTTTGTGCTGTGTGTATTCAACTCACAGAGTGGAACGTCCCTTTGCACAGAGCAGATTTGAAACACTCTTTGTGGAATTTGCAGGTGGAGATTTCAAGCGATTTGATGCCAACAGTAGAAAAGGAAATATCTTCAAATAAAAACTAGACAGAATCATTTAGAAACTACTTTGTGATGTGTGCCTTCAACTCACAGAGTTTAACCTTTCTTTTCTTAGAGCAGTTTAGAAACACTCTGCTTGTTATGTCTGCAAGTGGATATTTGGACCTCTTTGAGGCCTTCGTTGCAAACGGGGTTTCTTCCTTTAATGCTAGACTAAGAAGAGTTCTCAGTAACTTTTTTGTGTTGTGTGTATTCAACTCACAGAGTTGAACCTTGCTTTAGAGAGAGCAGATTTGAAACACTCTTGCTGTGGCATTTTCAGGTGGAGATTTCAAGCGATTTGAGGACAATTGCAGAAAAGGAAATATCTTCGTATAACAACCAGACAGAATCATTCTCAGAAAGTGCTTTGTGATGCGTGTGTTCAACTCACAGAGCTTAACCTTTCTTTTCATAGGGGAGTTTGGAAACACACTGTTTGTAAAGTCTGCAAGTGGATATATGGACCTGTTTGAGGCCTTCGTTGGAAACGGGATTTTATCATATAATGCTAGACGGAAGAATTCTCAGTAAATTCTTTTTGTTGTGTGCATTCAACTCACAGAGTGGAACGTCCCTTTAGACAGAGCAGATTTGAAACACTCTTTTTGCGGAATTTGCAAGTGGAGATTTCAAGCCATTAGATGCCAACTGTAGAAAGGGAAATATCTTCAAATAAAAACTAGACAGAATCATTCTCAGAAAATTCTTTGTGATGTGTGCGTTCAACTCACATAGTTTAACCTTTCTTTTCATAGAGCAGTTTGAAAACACTCTGTTGGTAATGTCTGCAAGTGGATATATGGACCGCTTTGAGGCCTTCGTTGGAAACGGGATTTCTTCATTTCATGCTAGACAGAAGAATTCTCAGTAACTTCTTTGTGTTGTGTGTATTCAACTCACAGATTGGAACGTCCCTTTACACAGAGCAGATTTGAAACACTCTTTTTGTGGAATTTGCAAGTGGAGATTTCAAGCGATTTGTTGCCAACAGTTGAAAAGGAAATATCTTCAAATAAAAACTAGACAGAATCATTCTCAGAAACTACTTTGTGATGTGTGCCTTCAACTCAGAGTTTAACCTTTCTTTTCTTAGAGCAGTTTAGAAACACTCTGCTTGTTATGTCTGCAAGTGGATATTTGGACCTCTTTGAGGCCTTCGTTGCAAACGGGGTTTCTTCCTTTCATGCTAGACTAAGAAGAGTTCTCAGTAACTTTTTTGTGTTGTGTGTATTCAACTCACAGAGTTGAACCTTGCTTTAGAGAGAGCAGATTTGAAACACTCTTGCTGTGGCATTTTCAGGTGGAGATTTCAAGCGATTTGAGGACAATTGCAGAAAAGGAAATATCTTCGTATAATAACCAGACAGAATCATTCTCAGAAAGTGCTTTGTGATGTGTGCGTTCAACTCACAGAGTTTAACCTTTCTTTTCATAGAGGAGTTTGGAAACACACTGTTTGTAAAGTCTGCAAGTGGATATATGGACCTGTTTGAGGCCCTTCGTTGGAAACGGGATTTCTTCATTGAATGCTAGACGGAAGAATTCTCAGTAAATTCTTTGTGTTGTGTGCATTCAACTCACAGAGTGGAACGTCCCTTTAGACACAGCAGATTTGAAACACTCTTTTTGCGGAATTTCCAAGTGGAGATTTCTAGCCATTTGATGCCAACAGTAGAAAGGGAAATATCTTCAAATAAAAACCAGACAGAATCATTCTCAGAAAATTCTTTGTGATGTGTGCGTTCAACTCACATAGTTTAACCTTTCTTTTCATAGAGCAGTTTGGAAACACTCTGTTTGTAAAGTCTGCAAGTGGATATATAGACCGCATTGAGGCCTTCGTTGGAAACGGGATTTCTTCATTTCATGCTAGACAGAAGAATTCTCAGTAACTTCTTTGTGCTGTGTGTATTCAACTCACAGAGTGGAACGTCCCTTTACACAGAGCAGATTTGAAACACTCTTTTTGTGGAATTTGCAAGTGGAGATTTCAAGCGATTTGATGCCAACAGTAGAAAAGGAAATATCTTCAAATAAAAACTAGACAGAATCATTCTCAGAAACTACTTTGTGATGTGTGCCTTCAACTCACAGAGTTTAACCTTTCTTTTCTTAGAGCAGTTTAGAAACACTCTGCTTGTTATGTCTGCAAGTGGATATTTGGACCTCTTTGAGGCCTTCGTTGCAAACGGGGTTTCTTCCTTTCATGCTAGACTAAGAAGAGTTCTCAGTAACTTTTTTGTGTTGTGTGTATTCAACTCACAGAGTTGAACCTTGCTTTAGAGAGAGCAGATTTGAAACACTCTTGCTGTGACATTTTCAGGTGGAGATTTCAAGCGATTTGAGGACAATTGCAGAAAAGGAAATATCTTCGTATAATAACCAGAAAGAATCATTCTCAGAAAGTGCTTTGTGATGTGTGCGTTCAACTCACAGAGTTTAACCTTTCTTTTCATAGAGGAGTTTGGAAACACACTGTTTGTAAAGTCTGCAAGTGGATATATGGACGTGTTTGAGGCCTTCGTTGGAAACGGGATTTCTTCATTGAATGCTAGACGGAAGAATTCTCAGTAAATTCTTTGTGTTGTGTGCATTCAACTCACAGAGTGGAACGTCCCTTTAGACAGAGCAGATTTGAAACACTCTTTTTGCGGAATTTGCAAGTGGAGATTTCTAGCCATTTGATGCCAACAGTAGAAAGGGAAATATCTTCAAATAAAAACCAGACAGAATCATTCTCAGAAAATTCTTTGTGATGTGTGCGTTCAACTCACATAGTTTAACCTTTCTTTTCATAGAGCAGTTTGGAAACACTCTGTTTGTAAAGTCTGCAAGTGGATATATGGACCGCATTGAGGCCTTCGTTGGAAACGGGATTTCTTCATTTCATGCTAGACAGAAGAATTCTCAGTAACTTCTTTGTGCTGTGTGTATTCAACTCACAGAGTGGAACGTCCCTTTGCACAGAGCAGATTTGAAACACTCTTTTTGTGGAATTTGCAAGTGGAGATTTCAAGCGATTTGATGCCAACAGTAGAAAAGGAAATATCTTCAAATAAAAACTAGACAGAATCATTCTCAGAAACTACTTTGTGATGTGTGCCTTCAACTCACAGAGTTTAACCTTTCTTTTCTTAGAGCAGTTTAGAAACACTCTGCTTGTTATGTCTGCAAGTGGATATTTGGACCTCTTTGAGGCCTTCGTTGCAAACGGGGTTTCTTCCTTTAATGCTAGACTAAGAAGAGTTCTCAGTAACTTTTTTGTGTTGTGTGTATTCAACTCACAGAGGTGAACCTTGCTTTAGAGAGAGCAGATTTGAAACACTCTTGCTGTGGCATTTTCAGGTGGAGATTTCAAGCGATTTGAGGACAATTGCAGAAAAGGAAATATCTTCGTATAATAACCAGACAGAATCATTCTCAGAAAGTGCTTTGTGATGTGTGCGTTCAACTCACAGAGTTTAACCTTTCTTTTCATAGAGGAGTTTGGAAACACACTGTTTGTAAAGTCTGCAAGTGGATATATGGACCTGTTTGAGGCCTTCGTTGGAAACGGGATTTTATCATATAATGCTAGACGAAAGAATTCTCAGTAAGTTCTTTGTGTTGTGTGCATTCAACTCACAGAGTGGAACGTCCCTTTAGACAGAGCACATTTGAAACACTCTTTTTCCGGAATTTGCAAGTGGAGATTTCTAGCCATTTGATGCCAACAGTAGAAAGGGAAATATCTTCAAATAAAAACTAGACAGAATCATTCTCAGAAAATTCTTTGTGATGTGTGCGTTCAACTCACATAGTTTAACCTTTCTTTTCATAGAGCAGTTTGGGAACACTCTGTTGGTAATGTCTGCAAGTGGATATATGGACCGCTTTGAGGCCTTCGTTGGAAACGGGATTTCTTCATTTCATGCTAGACAGAAGAATTCTCAGTAACTTCTTTGTGTTGTGTGTATTCAACTCACAGATTGGAACGTCCCTTTACACAGAGCAGATTTGAAACACTCTTTTTGTGGAATTTGCAAGTGGAGATTTCAAGCGATTTGATGCCAACAGTAGAAAAGGAAATATCTGCAAACAAAAACTAGACAGAATCATTATCAGAAAGTGCTTTGTGATGTGTGCATTCAACTCACAGAGTTAACCTTTCTTTTCATAAAGGAGTTTGGAAACACACTGTTTGTAAAGTCTGCAATTGGATATATGGACCTGTTTGAGGCCTTCGTTGGAAACGGGATTTCTTCATTGAATGCTAGACGGAAGAATTCTCAGTAAATTCTTTGTGTTGTGTGCATTCAACTCACAGAGTGGAACGTCCCTTTAGACAGAGCAGATTTGAAACACTCTTTTTGCGGAATTTGCAAGTGGAGATTTCTAGCCATTTGATGCCAACAGTAGAAAGGGAAATATCTTCAAATAAAAACCAGACAGAATCATTCTCAGAAAATTCTTTGTGATGTGTGCGTTCAACTCACATAGTTTAACCTTTCTTTTCATAGAGCAGTTTGGAAACACTCTGTTTGTAAAGTCTGCAAGTGGATATATGGACCGCATTGAGGCCTTCGTTGGAAACGGGATTTCTTCATTTCATGCTAGACAGAAGAATTCTCAGTAACTTCTCTGTGCTGTGTGTATTCAACTCACAGACTGGAACGTCCCTTTGCACAGAGCAGATTTGAAACACTCTTTTTGTGGAATTTGCAAGTGGAGATTTCAAGCGATTTGATGCCAACAGTAGAAAAGGAAATATCTTCAAATAAAAACTAGACAGAACCATTCTCAGAAACTACTTTGTGATGTGTGCCTTCAACTCACAGAGTTTAACCTTTCTTTTCTTAGAGCAGTTTAGAAACACTCTGCTTGTTATGTCTGCAAGTGGATATTTGGACCTCTTTGAGGCCTTCGTTGCAAACGGGGTTTCTTCCTTTCATGCTAGACTAAGAAGAGTTCTCAGTAACTTTTTTGTGCTGTGTGTATTCAACTCACAGAGTTGAACCTTGCTTTAGAGAGAGCAGATTTGAAACACTCTTGCTGTGGCATTTTCAGGTGGAGATTTCAAGCGATTTGAGGACAATTGCAGAAAAGGAAATATCTTCGTATAACAACCAGACAGAATCATTCTCAGAAAGTGCTTTGTGATGTGTGCGTTCCACTCACAGAGTTTAACCTTTCTTTTCATAGAGGAGTTTGGAAACACACTGTTTGTAAAGTCTGCAAGTGGATATATGGACCTGTTTGAGGCCTTCGTTGGAAACGGGATTTCTTCATTGAATGCTAGACGGAAGAATTCTCAGTAAATTCTTTGTGTTGTGTGCATTCAACTCACAGAGTGGAACGTCCCTTTAGACAGAGCAGATTTGAAACCCCTTTTTGCGGAATTTGCAAGTGGAGATTTCTAGCCATTTGATGCCAACAGTAGAAAGGGAAATATCTTCAAATAAAAACCAGACAGAATCATTCTCAGAAAATTCTTTGTGATGTGTGCGTTCAACTCACATAGTTTAACCTTTCTTTTCATAGAGCAGTTTGGAAACACTCTGTTTGTAAAGTCTGCAAGTGGATATATGGACCGCATGGAGGCCTTCGTTGGAAACGGGATTTCTTCATTTCATGCTAGACAGAAGAATTCTCAGCAACTTCTTTGTGCTGTGTGTATTCAACTCACAGAGTGGAACGTCCCTTTACACAGAGCAGATTTGAAACACTCTTTTTGTGTCGTTTGCAAGTGGAGATTTCAAGCGATTTGATGCCAACAGTAGAAAAGGAAATATCTTCAAATAAAAACTAGACAGAATCATTCTCAGAAACTACTTTGTGATGTGTGCCTTCAACTCACAGAGTTTAACCTTTCTTTTCTTAGAGCAGTTTAGAAACACTCTGCTTGTTATGTCTGCAAGTGGATATTTGGACCTCTTTGAGGCCTTCGTTGCAAACGGGGTTTCTTCCTTTCATGCTAGACTAAGAAGAGTTCTCAGTAACTTTTTTGTGTTGTGTGTATTCAACTCACAGAGTTGAACCTTGCTTTAGAGAGAGCAGATTTGAAACACTCTTGCTGTGGCATTTTCAGGTGGAGATTTCAAGCGATTTGAGGACAATTGCAGAAAAGGAAATATCTTCGTATAATAACCAGACAGAATCATTCTCAGAAAGTGCTTTGTGATGTGTGCGTTCAACTCACAGAGTTTAACCTTTCTTTTCATAGAGGAGTTTGGAAACACACTGTTTGTAAAGTCTGCAATTGGATATATGGACCTGTTTGAGGCCTTCGTTGGAAACGGGATTTCTTCATTGAATGCTAGGCAGAAGAATTCTCAGTAAATTCTTTGTGTTGTGTGCATTCAACTCACAGAGTGGAACGTCCCTTTAGACAGAGCAGATTTGAAACACTCTTTTTGCGGAATTTGCAAGTGGAGATTTCTAGCCATTTGATGCCAACAGTAGAAAGGGAAATATCTTCAAATAAAAACCAGACAGAATCATTCTCAGAAAATTCTTTGTGATGTGTGCGTTCAACTCACATAGTTTAACCTTTCTTTTCATAGAGCAGTTTGGAAACACTCTGTTTGTAAAGTCTGCAAGTGGATATATGGACCGCATTGAGGCCTTCGTTGGAAACGGGATTTCTTCATTTCATGCTAGACAGAAGAATTCTCAGTAACTTCTTTGTGCTGTGTGTATTCAACTCACAGAGTGGAACGTCCCTTTACACAGAGCAGATTTGAAACACTCTTTTTGTGGAGTTTGCAAGTGGAGATTTCAAGCGATTTGATGCCAACAGTAGAAAAGGAAATATCTTCAAATAAAAACTAGACAGAATCATTCTCAGAAACTACTTTGTGATGTGTGCCTTCAACTCACAGAGTTTAACCTTTCTTTTCTTAGAGCAGTTTAGAAACACTCTGCTTGTTATGTCTGCAAGTGGATATTTGGACCTCTTTGAGGCCTTCGTTGCAAACGGGGTTTCTTCCTTTCATGCTAGACTAAGAAGAGTTCTCAGTAACTTTTTTGTGTTGTGTGTATTCAACTCACAGAGTTGAACCTTGCTTTAGAGAGAGCAGATTTGAAACACTCTTGCTGTGGCATTTTCAGGTGGAGATTTCAAGCGATTTGAGGACAATTGCAGAAAAAGAAATATCTTCGTATAATAACCAGACAGAATCATTCTCAGAAAGTGCTTTGTGATGTGTGCGTTCCACTCACAGAGTTTAACCTTTCTTTTCATAGAGGAGTTTGGAAACACACTGTTTGTAAACTCTGCAAGTGGATATATGGACCTGTTTGAGGCCTTCGTTGGAAACGGGATTTCTTCATTGAATGCTAGACGGATGAATTCTCAGTAAATTCTTTGTGTTGTGTGCATTCAACTCACAGAGTGGAACGTCCCTTTAGACAGAGCAGATTTGAAACACTCTTTTTGCGGAATTTGCAAGTGGAGATTTCTAGCCATTTGATGCCAACAGTAGAAAGGGAAATATCTTCAAATAAAAACCAGACAGAATCATTCTCAGAAAATTCTTTGTGATGTGTGCGTTCAACTCACATAGTTTAACCTTTCTTTTCATAGAGCAGTTTGGAAACACTCTGTTTGTAAAGTCTGCAAGTGGATATATGGACCGCATTGAGGCCTTCGTTGGAAACGGGATTTCTTCATTTCATGCTAGACAGAAGAATTCTCAGTAACTTCTTTGTGCTGTGTGTATTCAACTCACAGAGTGGAACGTCCCTTTGCACAGAGCAGATTTGAAACACTCTTTTTGTGGAGTTTGCAAGTGGAGATTTCAAGCGATTTGATGCCAACAGTAGAAAAGGAAATATCTTCAAATAAAAACTAGACAGAATCATTCTCAGAAACTACTTTGTGATGTGTGCCTTCAACTCACAGAGTTTAACCTTTCTTTTCTTAGAGCAGTTTAGAAACACTCTGCTTGTTATGTCTGCAAGTGGATATTTGGACCTCTTTGAGGCCTTCGTTGCAAACGGGGTTTCTTCCTTTCATGCTAGACTAAGAAGAGTTCTCAGTAACTTTTTTGTGTTGTGTGTATTCAACTCACAGAGTTGAACCTTGCTTTAGAGAGAGCAGATTTGAAACACTCTTGCTGTGGCATTTTCAGGTGGAGATTTCAAGCGTTTTGAGGACAATTGCAGAAAAGGAAATATCTTCGTATAATAACCAGACAGAATCATTCTCAGAAAGTGCTTTGTGATGTGTGCGTTCAACTCACAGAGTTTAACTTTTCTTTCC
Organism: Homo sapiens; assembly: GCF_000001405.40. Lineage (NCBI taxonomy): Eukaryota > Metazoa > Chordata > Mammalia > Primates > Hominidae > Homo > Homo sapiens. Next base: position 59,459,375 of record NC_000007.14, read on the forward strand.
ATAGAGGAGTTTGGAAACACACTGTTTGTAAAGTCTGCAAGTGGATATATGGACCTGTTTGAGGCCTTCGTTGGAAACGGGATTTCTTCATTGAATGCTAGACGGAAGAATTCTCAGTAAATTCTTTGTGTTGTGTGCATTCAACTCACAGAGTGGAACGTCCCTTTAGACAGAGCAGATTTGAAACACTCTTTTTGCGGAATTTGCAAGTGGAGATTTCTAGCCATTTGATGCCAACAGTAGAAAGGGAAATATCTTCAAATAAAAACCAGACAGAATCATTCTCAGAAAATTCTTTGTGATGTGTGCGTTCAACTCACATAGTTTAACCTTTCTTTTCATAGAGCAGTTTGGAAACACTCTGTTTGTAAAGTCTGCAAGTGGATATATGGACCGCATTGAGGCCTTCGTTGGAAACGGGATTTCTTCATTTCATGCTAGACAGAAGAATTCTCAGTAACTTCTTTGTGCTGTGTGTATTCAACTCACAGAGTGGAACGTCCCTTTGCACAGAGCAGATTTGAAACACTCTTTTTGTGGAGTTTGCAAGTGGAGATTTCAAGCGATTTGATGCCAACAGTAGAAAAGGAAATATCTTCAAATAAAAACTAGACAGAATCATTCTCAGAAACTACTTTGTGATGTGTGCCTTCAACTCACAGAGTTTAACCTTTCTTTTCTTAGAGCAGTTTAGAAACACTCTGCTTGTTATGTCTGCAAGTGGATATTTGGACCTCTTTGAGGCCTTCGTTGCAAACGGGGTTTCTTCCTTTCATGCTAGACTAAGAAGAGTTCTCAGTAACTTTTTTGTGTTGTGTGTATTCAACTCACAGAGTTGAACCTTGCTTTAGAGAGAGCAGATTTGAAACACTCTTGCTGTGGCATTTTCAGGTGGAGATTTCAAGCGATTTGAGGACAATTGCAGAAAAGGAAATATCTTCGTATAATAACCAGACAGAATCATTCTCAGAAAGTGCTTTGTGATGTGTGCGTTCAACTCACAGAGTTTAACCTTTCTTTTCATAGAGGAGTTTGGAAACACACTGTTTGTAAAGTCTGCAATTGGATATATGGACCTGTTTGAGGCCTTCTTTGGAAACGGGATTTCTTCATTGAATGCTAGACGGAAGAATTCTCAGTAAATTCTTTGTGTTGTGTGCATTCAACTCACAGAGTGGAACGTCCCTTTAGACAGAGCAGATTTGAAACACTCTTTTTGCGGAATTTGCAAGTGGAGATTTCTAGCCATTTGATGCCAACAGTAGAAAGGGAAATATCTTCAAATAAAAACCAGACAGAATCATTCTCAGAAAATTCTTTGTGATGTGTGCGTTCAACTCACATAGTTTTACCTTTCTTTTCATAGAGCAGTTTGGAAACACTCTGTTTGTAAAGTCTGCAAGTGGATATATGGACCGCATTGAGGCCTTCGTTGGAAACGGGATTTCTTCATTTCATGCTAGACAGAAGAATTCTCAGTAACTTCTTTGTGCTGTGTGTATTCAACTCACAGAGTGGAACGTTCCTTTACACAGAGAAGATTTGAAACACTCTTTTTGTGGAATTTGCAAGTGGAGATTTCAAGCGATTTGATGCCAACAGTAGAAAAGGAAATATCTTCAAATAAAAACTAGACAGAATCATTCTCAGAAACTACTTTGTGATGTGTGCCTTCAACTCACAGAGTTTAACCTTTCTTTTCTTAGAGCAGTTTAGAAACACTCTGCTTGTTATGTCTGCAAGTGGATATTTGGACCTCTTTGAGGCCTTCGTTGCAAACGGGGTTTCTTCCTTTCATGCTAGACTAAGAAGAGTTCTCAGTAACTTTTTTGTGTTGTGTGTATTCAACTCACAGAGTTGAACCTTGCTTTAGAGAGAGCAGATTTGAAACACTCTTGCTGTGGCATTTTCAGGTGGAGATTTCAAGCGATTTGAGGACAATTGCAGAAAAGGAAATATCTTCGTATAATAACCAGACAGAATCATTCTCAGAAAGTGCTTTGTGATGTGTGCGTTCAACTCACAGAGTTTAACCTTTCTTTTCATAGAGGAGTTTGGAAACACACTGTTTGTAAAGTCTGCAATTGGATATATGGACCTGTTTGAGGCCTTCGTTGGAAACGGGATTTCTTCATTGACTGCTAGACGGAAGAATTCTCAGTAAATTCTTTATGTTGTGTGCATTCAACTCACAGAGTGGAACGTCCCTTTAGACAGAGCAGATTTGAAACACTCTTTTTGCGGAATTTGCAAGTGGAGATTTCTAGCCATTTGATGCCAACAGTAGAAAGGGAAATATCTTCAAATAAAAACCAGACAGAATCATTCTCAGAAAATTCTTTGTGATGTGTGCGTTCAACTCACATAGTTTAACCTTTCTTTTCATAGAGCAGTTTGGAAACACTCTGTTTGTAAAGTCTGCAAGTGGATATATGGACCGCATTGAGGCCTTCGTTGGAAACGGGATTTCTTCATTTCATGCTAGACAGAAGAATTCTCAGTAACTTCTTTGTGCTGTGTGTATTCAACTCACAGAGTGGAACGTTCCTTTACACAGAACAGATTTGAAACACTCTTTTTGTGTAATTTGCAAGTGGAGATTTCAAGCGATTTGATGCCAACAGTAGAAAAGGAAATATCTTCAAATAAAAACTAGACAGAATCATTCTCAGAAACTACTTTGTGATGTGTGCCTTCAACTCACAGAGTTTAACCTTTCTTTTCTTAGAGCAGTTTAGAAACACTCTGCTTGTTATGTCTGCAAGTGGATATTTGGACCTCTTTGAGGCCTTCGTTGCAAACGGGGTTTCTTCCTTTCATGCTAGACTAAGAAGAGTTCTCAGTAACTTTTTTGTGTTGTGTGTATTCAACTCACAGAGTTGAACCTTGCTTTAGAGAGAGCAGATTTGAAACACTCTTGCTGTGGCATTTTCAGGTGGAGATTTCAAGCGATTTGAGGACAATTGCAGAAAAGGAAATATCTTCGTATAATAACCAGACAGAATCATTCTCAGAAAGTGCTTTGTGATGTGTGCGTTCAACTCACAGAGTTTAACCTTTCTTTTCATAGAGGAGTTTGGAAACACACTGTTTGTAACGTCTGCAAGTGGATATATGGAGCTGTTTGAGGCCTTCGTTGGAAACGGGATTTCTTCATTGAATGCTAGACGGAAGAATTCTCAGTAAATTCTTTGTGTTGTGTGCATTCAACTCACACAGTGGAACGTCCCTTTAGACAGAGCAGATTTGAAACACTCTTTTTGCGGAAGTTGCAAGTGGAGATTTCTAGCCATTTGATGCCAACAGTAGAAAGGGAAATATCTTCAAATAAAAACTAGACAGAATCATTCTCAGAAAGTGCTTTGTGATGTGTGCGTTCAACTCACAGAGTTTAACCTTTCTTTTCATAGAGGAGTTTGGAAACACACTGTTTGTAAAGTCTGCAATTGGATATATGGACCTGTTTGAGGCCTTCGTTGGAAACGGGATTTCTTCATTGAATGCTAGACGGAAGAATTCTCAGTAAATTCTTTGTGTTGTGTGCATTCAACTCACAGAGTGGAACGTCCCTTTAGACAGAGCAGATTTGAAACACTCTTTTTGCGGAATTTGCAAGTGGAGATTTCTAGCCATTTGATGCCAACAGTAGAAAGGGAAATATCTTCAAATAAAAACCAGACAGAATCATTCTCAGAAAATTCTTTGTGATGTGTGCGTTCAACTCACATAGTTTAACCTTTCTTTTCATAGAGCAGTTTGGAAACACTCTGTTTGTAAAGTCTGCAAGTGGATATATGGACCGCATTGAGGCCTTCGTTGGAAACGGGATTTCTTCATTTCATGCTAGACAGAAGAATTCTCAGTAACTTCTTTGTGCTGTGTGTATTCAACTCACAGAGTGGAACGTCCCTTTGCACAGAGCAGATTTTAAACACTCTTTTTGTGGAGTTTGCAAGTGGAGATTTCAAGCGATTTGATGCCAACAGTAGAAAAGGAAATATCTTCAAATAAAAACTAGACAGAATCATTCTCAGAAACTACTTTGTGATGTGTGCCTTCAACTCACAGAGTTTAACCTTTCTTTTCTTAGAGCAGTTTAGAAACACTCTGCTTGTTATGTCTGCAAGTGGATATTTGGACCTCTTTGAGGCCTTCGTTGCAAACGGGGTTTCTTCCTTTCATGCTAGACTAAGAAGAGTTCTCAGTAACTTTTTTGTGTTGTGTGTATTCAACTCACAGAGTTGAACCTTGCTTTAGAGAGAGCAGATTTGAAACACTCTTGCTGTGGCATTTTCAGGTGGAGATTTCAAGCGATTTGAGGACAATTGCAGAAAAGGAAATATCTTCGTATAATAACCAGACAGAATCATTCTCAGAAAGTGCTTTTTGATGTGTGCGTTCAACTCACAGAGTTTAACTTTTCTTTTCATAGAGGAGTTTGGAAACACACTGTTTGTAAAGTCTGCAAGTGGATATATGGACCTGTTTGAGGCCTTCGTTGGAAACGGGATTTCTTCATTGAATGCTAGACGGAAGAATTCTCAGTAAATTCTTTGTGTTGTGTGCATTCAACTCACAGAGTGGAACGTCCCTTTAGACAGAGCAGATTTGAAACACTCTTTTTGCGGAATTTGCAAGTGGAGATTTCTAGCCATTTGATGCCAACAGTAGAAAGGGAAATATCTTCAAATAAAAACCAGACAGAATCATTCTCAGAAAATTCTTTGTGATGTGTGCGTTCAACTCACATAGTTTAACCTTTCTTTTCATAGAGCAGTTTGGAAACACTCTGTTTGTAAAGTCTGCAAGTGGATATATGGACCGCATTGAGGCCTTCGTTGGAAACGGGATTTCTTCATTTCATGCTAGACAGAAGAATTCTCAGTAACTTCTTTGTGCTGTGTGTATTCAACTCACAGAGTGGAACGTCCCTTTACACAGAGCAGATTTGAAACACTCTTTTTGTGGAGTTTGCAAGTGGAGATTTCAAGCGATTTGATGCCAACAGTAGAAAAGGAAATATCTTCAAATAAAAACTAGACAGAATCATTCTCAGAAACTACTTTGTGATGTGTGCCTTCAACTCACAGAGTTTAACCTTTCTTTTCTTAGAGCAGTTTAGAAACACTCTGCTTGTTATGTCTGCAAGTGGATATTTGGACCTCTTTGAGGCCTTCGTTGCAAACGGGGTTTCTTCCTTTCATGCTAGACTAAGAAGAGTTCTCAGTAACTTTTTTGTGTTGTGTGTATTCAACTCACAGAGTTGAACCTTGCTTTAGAGAGAGCAGATTTGAAACACTCTTGCTGTGGCATTTTCAGGTGGAGATTTCAAGCGATTTGAGGACAATTGCAGAAAAGGAAATATCTTCGTATAATAACCAGACAGAATCATTCTCAGAAAGTGCTTTGTGATGTGTGCGTTCAACTCACAGAGTTTAACCTTTCTTTTCATAGAGGAGTTTGGAAACACAGTGTTTGTAAAGTCTGCAATTGGATATATGGACCTGTTTGAGGCCTTCGTTGGAAACGGGATTTCTTCATTGAATGCTAGACGGAAGAATTCTCAGTAAATTCTTTGTGTTGTGTGCATTCAACTCACAGAGTGGAACGTCCCTTTAGACAGAGCAGATTTGAAACACTCTTTTTGCGGAATTTGCAAGTGGAGATTTCTAGCCATTTGATGCCAACAGTAGAAAGGGAAATATCTTCAAATAAAAACCAGACAGAATCATTCTCAGAAAATTCTTTGTGATGTGTGCGTTCAACTCACATAGTTTAACCTTTCTTTTCATGGAGCAGTTTGGAAACACTCTGTTTGTAAAGTCTGCAAGTGGATATATGGACCGCATTGAGGCCTTCGTTGGAAACGGGATTTCTTCATTTCATACTAGACAGAAGAATTCTCAGTAACTTCTTTGTGCTGTGTGTATTCAACTCACAGAGTGGAACATCCCTTTGCACAGAGCAGATTTGAAACACTCTTTTTGTGGAGTTTGCAAGTGGAGATTTCAAGCGATTTGATGCCAACAGTAGAAAAGGAAATATCTTCAAATAAAAACTAGACAGAATCATTCTCAGAAACTACTTTGTGATGTGTGCCTTCAACTCACAGAGTTTAACCTTTCTTTTCTTAGAGCAGTTTAGAAACACTCTGCTTGTTATGTCTGCAAGTGGATATTTGGACCTCTTTGAGGCCTTCGTTGCAAACGGGGTTTCTTCCTTTAATGCTAGACTAAGAAGAGTTCTCAGTAACTTTTTTGTGTTGTGTGTATTCAACTCACAGAGTTGAACCTTGCTTTAGAGAGAGCAGATTTGAAACACTCTTGCTGTGGCATTTTCAGGTGGAGATTTCAAGCGATTTGAGGACAATTGCAGAAAAGGAAATATCTTCGTATAATAACCAGACAGAATCATTCTCAGAAAGTGCTTTGTGATGTGTGCGTTCAACTCACAGAGTTTAACCTTTCTTTTCATAGAGGAGTTTGGAAACACACTGTTTGTAAAGTCTGCAAGTGGATATATGGACCTGTTTGAGGCCTTCGTTGGAAACGGGATTTTATCATATAATGCTAGACGGAAGAACTCTCAGTAAATTCTTTGTGTTGTGTGCATTCAACTCACAGAGTGGAACGTCCCTTTAGACAGAGCAGATTTGAAACACTGTTTTTGCGGAATTTGCAAGTGGAGATTTCTAGCCATTTGATGCCAACAGTAGAAAGTGAAATATCTTCAAATAAAAACCAGACAGAATCATTCTCAGAAAATTCTTTGTGATGTGTGCGTTCAACTCACATAGTTTAACCTTTCTTTTCATAGAGCAGTTTGGAAACACTCTGTTTGTAAAGTCTGCAAGTGGATATATGGACCGCATTGAGGCCTTCGTTGGAAACGGGATTTCTTCATTTCATGCTAGACAGAAGAATTCTCAGTAACTTCTTTGTGCTGTGTGTATTCAACTCACAGAGTGGAACGTCCCTTTGCACAGAGCAGATTTGAAACACTCTTTTTGTGGAATTTGCAAGTGGAGATTTCAAGCGATTTGATGCCAACAGTAGAAAAGGAAATTCTCAAATAAAAACTAGACAGAATCATTCTCAGAAACTACTTTGTGATGTGTGCCTTTAACTCACAGAGTTTAACCTTTCTTTTCATAAAGCAGTTTGGAAACACTCTGTTTGTAAAGTCTGCAAGTGGATATTTGGACCTCTTTGAGGCCTTCGTTGCAAACGGGGTTTCTTCCTTTCATGCTAGACTAAGAAGAATTCTCAGTAACTTCTTTGTGTTGTGTGTATTCAACTCACAGAGTTGAACCTTCCTTTAGAGAGAGCAGAGTTGAAACACTCTGTTTTTGGAATTAGCAAGTGCAGATTTCAAGCGGTTCTAGGCCTATGGCAGAAAAGGAAATATCTTCGTATAAAAACTACACAGAATCATTCTCAGAAAGTGCTTTGTGATGTGTGCGTTCAACTCACAGAGTTTAACCTTTCTTTTCATAGAGGAGTTTGGAAACACACTGTTTGTAAAGTCTGCAATTGGATATATGGACCTGTTTGAGGCCTTCGTTGGAAACGGGATTTCTTCATTGAATGCTAGACGGAAGAATTCTCAGTAAATTCTTTGTGTTGTGTGCATTCAACTCACAGAGTGGAACGTCCCTTTAGACAGAGCAGATTTGAAACACTCTTTTTGCGGAATTTGCAAGTGGAGATTTCTAGCCATTTGATGCCAACAGTAGAAAGGGAAATATCTTCAAATAAAAACCAGACAGAATCATTCTCAGAAAATTCTTTGTGATGTGTGCGTTCAACTCACATAGTTTAACCTTTCTTTTCATAGAGCAGTTTGGAAACACTCTGTTTGTAAAGTCTGCAAGTGGATATATGGACCGCATTGAGGCCTTCGTTGGAAACGGGATTTCTTCATTTCATGCTAGACAGAAGAATTCTCAGTAACTTCTTTGTGCTGCGTGTATTCAACTCACAGAGTGGAACGTCCCTTTGCACAGAGCAGATTTGAAACACTCTTTTTGTGGAATTTGCAAGTGGAGATTTCAAGCGATTTGATGCCAACAGTAGAAAAGGAAATATCTTCAAATAAAAACTAGACAGAATCATTCTCAGAAACTACTTTGTGATGTGTGCCTTCAACTCACAGAGTTTAACCTTTCTTTTCTTAGAGCAGTTTAGAAACACTCTGCTTGTTATGTCTGCAAGTGGATATTTGGACCTCTTTGAGGCCTTCGTTGCAAACGGGGTTTCTTCCTTTCATGCTAGACTAAGAAGAGTTCTCAGTAACTTTTTTGTGTTGTGTGTATTCAACTCACAGAGTTGAACCTTGCTTTAGAGAGAGCAGATTTGAAACACTCTTGCTGTGGCATTTTCAGGTGGAGATTTCAAGCGATTTGAGGACAATTGCAGAAAAGGAAATATCTTCGTATAATAACCAGACAGAATCATTCTCAGAAAGTGCTTTGTGATGTGTGCGTTCCACTCACAGAGTTTAACCTTTCTTTTCATAGAGGAGTTTGGAAACACACTGTTTGTAAAGTCTGCAAGTGGATATATGGACCTGTTTGAGGCCTTCGTTGGAAACGGGATTTCTTCATTGAATGCTAGACGGAAGAATTCTCAGTAAATTCTTTGTGTTGTGTGCATTCAACTCACAGAGTGGAACGTCCCTTTAGACAGAGCAGATTTGAAACACTCTTTTTGCGAAATTTGCAAGTGGAGATTTCTAGCCATTTGATGCCAACAGTAGAAAGGGAAATATCTTCAAATAAAAACCAGACAGAATCATTCTCAGAAAATTCTTTGTGATGTGTGCGTTCAACTCACATAGTTTAACCTTTCTTTTCATAGAGCAGTTTGGAAACACTCTGTTTGTAAAGTCTGCAAGTGGATATATGGACCGCATTGAGGCCTTCGTTGGAAACGGGATTTCTTCATTTCATGCTAGACAGAGGAATTCTCAGTAACTTCTTTGTGCTGTGTGTATTCAACTCACAGAGTGGAACGTCCCTTTACACAGAGCAGATTTGAAACACTCTTTTTGTGGAGTTTGCAAGTGGAGATTTCAAGCGATTTGATGCCAACAGTAGAAAAGGAAATATCTTCAAATAAAAACTAGACAGAATCATTCTCAGAAACTACTTTGTGATGTGTGCCTTCAACTCACAGAGTTTAACCTTTCTTTTCTTAGAGCAGTTTAGAAACACTCTGCTTGTTATGTCTGCAAGTGGATATTTGGACCTCTTTGAGGCCTTCGTTGCAAACGGGGTTTCTTCCTTTCATGCTAGACTAAGAAGAGTTCTCAGTAACTTTTCTGTGTTGTGTGTATTCAACTCACAGAGTTGAACCTTGCTTTAGAGAGAGCAGATATGAAACACTCTTGCTGTGACATTTTCAGGTGGAGATTTCAAGCGATTTGAGGACAATTGCAGAAAAGGAAATATCTTCGTATAACAACCAGACAGAATCATTCTCAGAAAGTGCTTTGTGATGTGTTCGTTCCACTCACAGAGTTTAACCTTTCTTTTCATAGAGGAGTTTGGAAACACACTGTTTGTAAAGTCTGCAATTGGATATATGGACCTGTTTGAGGCCTTCGTTGGAAACGGGATTTCTTCATTGAATGCTAGACGGAAGAATTCTCAGTAAATTCTTTGTGTTGTGTGCATTCAACTCACAGAGTGGAACGTCCCTTTAGACAGAGCAGATTTGAAACACTCTTTTTGCGGAATTTGCAAGTGGAGATTTCTAGCCATTTGATGCCAACAGTAGAAAGGGAAATATCTTCAAATAAAAACCAGACAGAATCATTCTCAGAAAATTCTTTGTGATGTGTGCGTTCAACTCACATAGTTTAACCTTTCTTTTCATAGAGCAGTTTGGAAACACTCTGTTTGTAAAGTCTGCAAGTGGATATATGGACCGCATTGAGGCCTTCGTTGGAAACGGGATTTCTTCATTTCATGCTAGACAGAAGAATTCTCAGTAACTTCTTTGTGCTGTGTGTATTCAACTCACAGAGTTGAACCTTGCTTTAGAGAGAGCAGATTTGAAACACTCTTGCTGTGGCATTTTCAGGTGGAGATTTCAAGCGATTTGAGGAAAATTGCAGAAAAGGGAATATCTTCGTATAATAACCAGACAGAATCATTCTCAGAAAGTGCTTTGTGATGTGTGCGTTCCACTCACAGAGTTTAACCTTTCTTTTCATAGAGGAGTTTGGAAACACACTGTTTGTAAACTCTGCAAGTGGATATATGGACCTGTTTGAGGCCTTCGTTGGAAACGGGATTTCTTCATTGAATGCTAGACGGAAGAATTCTCAGTAAATTCTTTGTGTTGTGTGCATTCAACTCACAGAGTGGAACGTCCCTTTAGACAGAGCAGATTTGAAACACTCTTTTTGCGGAATTTGCAAGTGGAGATTTCTAGCCATTTGATGCCAACAGTAGAAAGGGAAATATCTTCAAATAAAAACCAGACAGAATCATTCTCAGAAAATTCTTTGTGATGTGTGCGTTCAACTCACATAGTTTAACCTTTCTTTTCATAGAGCAGTTTGGAAACACTCTGTTTGTAAAGTCTGCAAGTGGATATATGGACCGCATTGAGGCCTTCGTTGGAAACGGGATTTCTTCATTTCATGCTAGACAGAAGAATTCTCAGTAACTTCTTTGTGCTGTGTGTATTCAACTCACAGAGTGGAACGTCCCTTTGCACAGAGCAGATTTAAAACACTCTTTTTGTGGAGTTTGCAAGTGGAGATTTCAAGCGATTTGATGCCAACAGTAGAAAAGGAAATATCTTCAAATAAAAACTAGACAGAATCATTCTCAGAAACTACTTTGTGATGTGTGCCTTCAACTCACAGAGTTTAACCTTTCTTTTCTTAGAGCAGTTTAGAAACACTCTGCTTGTTATGTCTGCAAGTGGATATTTGGACCTCTTTGAGGCCTTCGTTGCAAACGGGGTTTCTTCCTTTCATGCTAGACTAAGAAGAGTTCTCAGTAACTTTTTTGCGTTGTGTGTATTCAACTCACAGAGTTGAACCTTGCTTTAGAGAGAGCAGATTTGAAACACTCTTGCTGTGGCATTTTCAGGTGGAGATTTCAAGCGATTTGAGGACAATTGCAGAAAAGGAAATATCTTCGTATAACAACCAGACAGAATCATTCTCAGAAAGTGCTTTGTGATGTGTGCGTTCAACTCACAGAGTTTAACCTTTCTTTTCATAGAGGAGTTTGGAAACACACTGTTTGTAAAGTCTGCAATTGGATATATGGACCTGTTTGAGGCCTTCGTTGGAAACGGGATTTCTTCATTGAATGCTAGACGGAAGAATTCTCAGTAAATTCTTTGTGTTGTGTGCATTCAACTCACAGAGTGGAACGTCCCTTTAGACAGAGCAGATTTGAAACACTCTTTTTGCGGAATTTGCAAGTGGAGATTTCTAGCCATTTGATGCCAACAGTAGAAAGGGAAATATCTTCAAATAAAAATCAGACAGAATCGTTCTCAGAAAATTCTTTGTGATGTGTGCGTTCAACTCACATAGTTTAACCTTTCTTTTCATAGAGCAGTTTGGAAACACTCTGTTTGTAAAGTCTGCAAGTGGATATATGGACCGCATTGAGGCCTTCGTTGGAAACGGGAGTTCTTCATTTCATGCTAGACAGAAGAATTCTCAGTAACTTCTTTGTGCTGTGTGTATTCAACTCACAGAGTGGAATGTCCCTTTACACAGAGCAGATTTGAAACACTCTTTTTGTGGAGTTTGCAAGTGGAGATTTCAAGCGATTTGATGCCAACAGTAGAAAAGGAAATATCTTCAAATAAAAACTAGACAGAATCATTCTCAGAAACTACTTTGTGATGTGTGCCTTCAACTCACAGAGTTTAACCTTTCTTTTCTTAGAGCAGTTTAGAAACACTCTGCTTGTTATGTCTGCAAGTGGATATTTGGACCTCTTTGAGGCCTTCGTTGCAAACGGGGTTTCTTCCTTTCATGCTAGACTAAGAAGAGTTCTCAGTAACTTTTTTGTGTTGTGTGTATTCAACTCACAGAGTTGAACCTTGCTTTAGAGAGAGCAGATTTGAAACACTCTTGCTGTGGCATTTTCAGGTGGAGATTTCAAGCGATTTGAGGACAATTGCAGAAAAGGAAATATCTTCGTATAATAACCAGACAGAATCATTCTCAGAAAGTGCTTTGTGATGTGTGCGTTCCACTCACAGAAGTTTAACCTTTCTTTTCATAGAGGAGTTTGGAAACACACTGTTTGTAAAGTCTGCAAGTGGATATATGGACCTCTTTGAGGCCTTCGTTGGAAACGGGATTTCTTCATTGAATGCTAGACGGAAGAATTCTCAGTAAATTCTTTGTGTTGTGTGCATTCAACTCACAGAGTGGAACGTCCCTTTAGACAGAGCAGATTTGAAACACTCTTTTTGCGGAATTTGCAAGTGGAGATTTCTAGCCATTTGATGCCAACAGTAGAAAGGGAAATATCTTCAAATAAAAACCAGACAGAATCATTCTCAGAAAATTCTTTGTGATGTGTGCGTTCAACTCACACAGTTTAACCTTTCTTTTCTTAGAGCAGTTTAGAAACACTCTGCTTGTTATGTCTGCAAGTGGATATTTGGACCTCTTTGAGGCCTTCGTTGCAAACGGGGTTTCTTCCTTTCATGCTAGACTAAGAAGAGTTCTCAGTAACTTTTTTGTGTTGTGTGTATTCAACTCACAGAGTTGAACCTTGCTTTAGAGAGAGCAGATTTGAAACACTCTTGCTGTGGCATTTTCAGGTGGAGATTTCAAGCGATTTGAGGACAATTGCAGAAAAGGAAATATCTTCGTATAATAACCAGACAGAATCATTCTCAGAAAGTGCTTTGTGATGTGTGCGTTCAACTCACAGAGTTTAACCTTTCTTTTCATAGAGGAGTTTGGAAACACACTGTTTGTAAAGTCTGCAATTGGATATATGGACCTGTTTGAGGCCTTCGTTGGAAACGGGATTTCTTCATTGAATGCTACACGGAAGAATTCTCAGTAAATTCTTTGTGTTGTCTGCATTCAACTCACAGAGTGGAACGTCCCTTTAGACAGAGCAGATTTGAAACACTCTTTTTGCGGAATTTGCAAGTGGAGATTTCTAGCCATTTGATGCCAACAGTAGAAAGGGAAATATCTTCAAATAAAAACCAGACAGAATCATTCTCAGAAAATTCTTTGTGATGTGTGCGTTCAACTCACATAGTTTAACCTTTCTTTTCATAGAGCAGTTTGGAAACACTCTGTTTGTAAAGTCTGCAAGTGGATATATGGACCGCATTGAGGCCTTCGTTGGAAACGGGATTTCTTCATTTCATGCTAGACAGAAGAATTCTCAGTAACTTCTTTGTGCTGTGTGTATTCAACTCACAGAGTGGAACGTCCCTTTGCACAGAGCAGATTTGAAACACTCTTTTTGTGGAGTTTGCAAGTGGAGATTTCAAGCGATTTGATGCCAACAGTAGAAAAGGAAATATCTTCAAATAAAAACTAGACAGAATCATTCTCAGAAACTACTTTGTGATGTGTGCCTTCAACTCACAGAGTTTAACCTTTCTTTTCTTAGAGCAGTTTAGAAACACTCTGCTTGTTATGTCTGCAAGTGGATATTTGGACCTCTTTGAGGCCTTCGTTGCAAACGGGGTTTCTTCATTTCATGCTAGACTAAGAAGAGTTCTCAGTAACTTTTTTGTGTTGTGTGTATTCAACTCACAGAGTTGAACCTTGCTTTAGAGAGAGCAGATTTGAAACACTCTTGCTGTGGAATTTTCAGGTGGAGATTTCAAGCGATTTGAGGACAATTGCAGAAAAGGAAATATCTTCGTATAATAACCAGACAGAATCATTCTCAGAAAGTGCTTTGTGATGTGTGCGTTCCACTCACAGAGTTTAACCTTTCTTTTCATAGAGGAGTTTGGAAACACACTGTTTGTAAAGTCTGCAAGTGGATATATGGACCTGTTTGAGGCCTTCGTTGGAAACGGGATTTCTTCATTGAATGCTAGACGGAAGAATTCTCAGTAAATTCTTTGTGTTGTGTGCATTCAACTCACAGAGTGGAACGTCCCTTTAGACACAGCAGATTTGAAACACTCTTTTTGCGGAATTTGCAAGTGGAGATTTCTAGCCATTTGATGCCAACAGTAGAAAGGGAAATATCTTCAAATAAAAACCAGACAGAATCATTCTCAGAAAATTCTTTGTGATGTGTGCGTTCAACTCACATAGTTTAACCTTTCTTTTCATAGAGCAGTTTGGAAACACTCTGTTTGTAAAGTCTGCAAGTGGATATATGGACCTCTTTGAGGCCTTCGTTGGAAACGGGATTTCTTCATTGAATGCTAGACGGAAGAATTCTCAGTAAATTCTTTGTGTTGTGTGCATTCAACTCACAGAGTGGAACGTCCCTTTAGACAGAGCAGATTTGAAACACTCTTTTTGCGGAATTTGCAAGTGGAGATTTCTAGCCATTTGATGCCAACAGTAGAAAGGGAAATATCTTCAAATAAAAACCAGACAGAATCATTCTCAGAAAATTCTTTGTGATGTGTGCGTTCAACTCACATAGTTTAACCTTTCTTTTCATAGAGCAGTTTGGAAACACTCTGTTTGTAAAGTCTGCAAGTGGATCTATGGACCGCATTGAGGCCTTCGTTGGAAACGGGATTTCTTCATTTCATGCTAGACAGAAGAATTCTCAGTAACTTCTTTGTGCTGTGTGTATTCAACTCACAGAGTGGAACGTCTCTTTACACAGAGCAGATTTGAAACACTCTTTTTGTGGAGTTTGCAAGTGGAGATTTCAAGCGATTTGATGCCAACAGTAGAAAATGAAATATCTTCAAATAAAAACTAGACAGAATCATTCTCAGAAACTACTTTGTGATGTGTGCCTTCAACTCACAGAGTTTAACCTTTCTTTTCTTAGAGCAGTTTAGAAACACTCTGCTTGTTATGTCTGCAAGTGGATATTTGGACCTCTTTGAGGCCTTCGTTGCAAACGGGGTTTCTTCCTTTAATGCTAGACTAAGAAGAGTTCTCAGTAACTTTTTTGTGTTGTGTGTATTCAACTCACAGAGTTGAACCTTGCTTTAGAGAGAGCAGATTTGAAACACTCTCGCTGTGGAATTTTCAGGTGGAGATTTCATGCGATTTGAGGACAATTGCAGAAAAGGAAATATCTTCGTATAATAACCAGACAGAATCATTCTCAGAAAGTGCTTTGTGATGTGTGCGTTCAACTCACAGAGTTTAACCATTCTTTTCATAGAGGAGCTTGGAAACACACTGTTTGTAAAGTCTGCAATTGGATATATGGACCTGTTTGAGGCCTCCGTTGGAAACGGGATTTCTTCATTGAATGCTAGACGGAAGAATTCTCAGTAAATTCTTTGTGTTGTGTGCATTGAACTCACAGAGTGGAACGTCCCTTTAGACAGAGCAGATTTGAAACACTCATTTTGCGGAATTTGCAAGTGGAGATTTCTAGCCATTTGATGTCAACAGTAGAAAGGGAAATATCTTCAAATAAAAACCAGACAGAATCATTCTCAGAAAATTCTTTGTGATGTGTGCGTTCAACTCACATAGTTTAACCTTTCTTTTCATAGAGCAGTTTGGAAACACTCTGTTTGTAAAGTCTGCAAGTGGATATATGGACCGCATTGAGGCCTTCGTTGGAAACGGGATTTCTTCATTTCATGCTAGACAGAAGAATTCTCAGTAACTTCTTTGTGCTGTGTGTATTCAACTCACAGAGTGGAACGTCCCTTTACACAGAGCAGATTTGAAACACTCTTTTTGTGGAGTTTGCAAGTGGAGATTTCAAGCGATTTGATGCCAACAGTAGAAAAGGAAATATCTTCAAATAAAAACTAGACAGAATCATTCTCAGAAACTACTTTGTGATGTGTGCCTTCAACTCACAGAGTTTAACCTTTCTTTTCTTAGAGCAGTTTAGAAACACTCTGCTTGTTATGTCTGCAAGTGGATATTTGGACCTCTTTGAGGCCTTCCTTGCAAACGGGGTTTCTTCCTTTCATGCTAGACTAAGAAGAGTTCTCAGTAACTTTTTTGTGTTGTGTGTATTCAACTCAGAGAGTTGAACCTTGCTTTAGAGAGAGCAGATTTGAAACACTCTTGCTGTGGCATTTTCAGGTGGAGATTTCAAGCGATTTGAGGACAATTGCAGAAAAGGAAATATCTTCGTATAATAACCAGACAGAATCATTCTCAGAAAGTGCTTTGTGATGTGTGCGTTCAACTCACAGAGTTTAACCTTTCTTTTCATAGAGGAGTTTGGAAACACACTGTTTGTAAAGTCTGCAATTGGATATATGGACCTGTTTGAGGCCTTCTTTGGAAACGGGATTTCTTCATTGAATGCTAGACGGAAGAATTCTCAGTAAATTCTTTGTGTTGTGTGCATTCAACCCACAGAGTGGAACGTCCCTTTAGACAGAGCAGATTTGAAACACTCTTTTTGCGGAATTTGCAAGTGGAGATTTCTAGCCATTTGATGCCAACAGTAGAAAGGGAAATATCTTCAAATAAAAACCAGACAGAATCATTCTCAGAAAATTCTTTGTGATGTGTGCGTTCAACTCACATAGTTTAACCTTTCTTTTCATAGAGCAGTTTGGAAACACTCTGTTTGTAAAGTCTGCAAGTGGATATATAGACCGCATTGAGGCCTTCGTTGGAAACGGGATTTCTTCATTTCGTGCTTGACAGAAGAATTCTCAGTAACTTCTTTGTGCTGTGTGTATTCAACTCACAGAGTGGAACTTCCCTTTGCACAGAGCAGATTTGAAACACTCTTTTTGTGGAGTTTGCAAGTGGAGATTTCAAGCGATTTGATGCCAACAGTAGAAAAGGAAATATCTTCAAATAAAAACTAGACAGAATCATTCTCAGAAACTACTTTGTGATGTGTGCCTTCAACTCACAGAGTTTAACCTTTCTTTTCTTAGAGCAGTTTAGAAACACTCTGCTTGTTATGTCTGCAAGTGGATATTTGGACCTCTTTGAGGCCTTCGTTGCAAACGGGGTTTCTTCCTTTCATGCTAGACTAAGAAGAGTTCTCAGTAACTTTTTTGTGTTGTGTGTATTCAACTCACAGAGTTGAACCTTGCTTTAGAGAGAGCAGATTTGAAACACTCTTGCTGTGGCATTTTCAGGTGGAGATTTCAAGCGATTTGAGGACAATTGCAGAAAAGGAAATATCTTCGTATAATAACCAGACAGAATCATTCTCAGAAAGTGCTTTGTGATGTGTGCGTTCAACTCACAGAGTTTAACCTTTCTTTTCATAGAGGAGTTTGGAAACACACTGTTTGTAAAGTCTGCAAGTGGATATATGGACCTGTTTGAGGCCTTCGTTGGAAACGGGATTTCTTCATTGAATGCTAGACGGAAGAATTCTCAGTAAATTCTTTGTGTTGTGTGCATTCAACTCACAGAGTGGAACGTCCCTTTAGACAGAGCAGATTTGAAACACTCTTTTTGCGGAATTTGCAAGTGGAGATTTCTAGCCATTTGATGCCAACAGTAGAAAGGGAAATATCTTCAAATAAAAACCAGACAGAATCATTCTCAGAAAATTCTTTGTGATGTGTGCGTTCAACTCACATAGTTTAACCTTTCTTTTCATAGAGCAGTTTGGAAACACTCTGTTTGTAAAGTCTGCAAGTGGATATATGGACCGCATTGAGGCCTTCGTTGGAAACGGGATTTCTTCATTTCATGCTAGACAGAAGAATTCTCAGTAACTTCTTTGTGCTGTGTGTATTCAACTCACAGAGTGGAACGTCCCTTTGCACAGAGCAGATTTGAAACACTCTTTTTGTGGAGTTTGCAAGTGGAGATTTCAAGCGATTTGATGCCAACAGTAGAAAAGGAAGTATCTTCAAATAAAAATTAGACAGAATCATTCTCAGAAACTACTTTGTGATGTGTGCCTTCAACTCACAGAGTTTAACCTTTCTTTTCTTAGAGCAGCTTAGAAACACTCTGCTTGTTATGTCTGCAAGTGGATATTTGGACCTCTTTGAGGCCTTCGTTGCAAACGGGGTTTCTTCCTTTCATGCTAGACTAAGAAGAGTTCTCAGTAACTTTTTTGTGTTGTGTGTATTCAACTCACAGAGTTGAACCTTGCTTTAGAGAGAGCAGATTTGAAACACTCTTGCTGTGGCATTTTCAGGTGGAGATTTCAAGCGATTTGAGGACAATTGCAGAAAAGGAAATATCTTCGTATAATAACCAGACAGAATCATTCTCAGAAAGTGCTTTGTGATGTGTGCGTTCAACTCACAGAGTTTAACCTTTCTTTCCATAGAGGAGTTTGGAAACACACTGTTTGTAAAGTCTGCAATTGGATATATGGACCTGTTTGAGGCCTTCGTTGGAAACGGGATTTCTTCATTGAATGCTAGACGGAAGAATTCTCAGTAAATTCTTTGTGTTGTGTGCATTCAACTCACAGAGTGGAACGTCCCTTTAGACAGAGCAGATTTGAAACACTCTTTTTGCGGAATTTGCAAGTGGAGATTTCTAGCCATTTGATGCCAACAGTAGAAAGGGAAATATCTTCAAATAAAAACCAGACAGAATCATTCTCAGAAAATTCTTTGTGATGAGTGCGTTCAACTCACATAGTTTAACCTTTCTTTTCATAGAGCAGTTTGGAAACACTCTGTTTGTAAAGTCTGCAAGTGGATATATGGACCGCATTGAGGCCTTCGTTGGAAACGGGATTTCTTCATTTCATGCTAGACAGAAGAATTCTCAGTAACTTCTTTGTGTTGTGTGTATTCAACTCACAGATTGGAACGTCCCTTTACACAGAGCAGATTTGAAACACTCTTTTTGTGGAATTTGCAAGTGGAGATTTCAAGCGATTTGATGCCAACAGTAGAAAAGGAAATATCTGCAAACAAAAACTAGACAGAATCATTATCAGAAAGTGCTTTGTGATGTGTGCATTCAACTCACAGAGTTAACCTTTCTTTTCATAAAGGAGTTTGGAAACACACTGTTTGTAAAGTCTGCAATTGGATATATGGACCTGTTTGAGGCCTTCGTTGGAAACGGGATTTCTTCATTGAATGCTAGACGGAAGAATTCTCAGTAAATTCTTTGTGTCGTGTGCGTTCAACTCACAGAGTGGAACGTCCCTTTAGACAGAGCAGATTTGAAACACTCTTTTTGCGGAATTTGCAAGTGGAGATTTCTAGCAATTTGATGCCAACAGTAGAAAGGGAAATATCTTCAAATAAAAACCAGACAGAATCATTCTCATAAAATTCTTTGTGATGTGTGCGTTCAAATCACATAGTTTAAACTTTCTTTTCATAGAGCAGTTTGGAAACACTCTGTTTGCAAAGTCTGCAAGTGGATATATGGACCGCATTGAGGCCTTCGTTGGAAACGGGATTTCTTCATTTCATGCTAGACAGAAGAATTCTCAGTAACTTCTTTGTGTTGTGTGTATTCAACTCACAGAGTGGAACGTCCCTTTAGACAGAGAAGATTTGAAACACACTTTTTGTGGAATTTGCAAGTGGAGATTTCAAGCGATTTGATGCCAACAGTAGAAAAGGAAATATCTTCAAATAAAAACTAGACAGAATCATTCTCAGAAACTACTTTGTGATGTGTGCCTTCAACTCACAGAGTTTAACCTTTCTTTTCTTAGAGCAGTTTAGAAACACTCTGCTTGTTATGTCTGCAAGTGGATATTTGGACCTCTTTGAGGCCTTCGTTGCAAACGGGGTTTCTTCCTTTCATGCTAGACTAAGAAGAGTTCTCAGTAACTTTTTTGTGTTGTGTGTATTCAACTCACAGAGTTGAACCTTGCTTTAGAGAGAGCAGATTTGAAACACTCTTGCTGTGGCATTTTCAGGTGGAGATTTCAAGCGATTTGAGGACAATTGCAGAAAAGGAAATATCTTCGTATAATAACCAGACAGAATCATTCTCAGAAAGTGCTTTGTGATGTGTGCGTTCAACTCACAGAGTTTAACCTTTCTTTTCATAGAGGAGTTTGGAAACACACTGTTTGTAAAGTCTGCAATTGGATATATGGACCTGTTTGAGGCCTTCTTTGGAAACGGGATTTCTTCATTGAATGCTAGACGGAAGAAGTCTCAGTAAATTCTTTGTGTTGTGTGCATTCAACTGACAGAGTGGAGCGTCCCTTTAGACAGAGCAGATTTGAAACACTCTTTTTGCGGAATTTGCAAGTGGAGATTTCTAGCCATTTGATGCCAACAGTAGAAAGGGAAATATCTTCAAATAAAAACCAGACAGAATCATTCTCAGAAAATTCTTTGTGATGTGTGCGTTCAACTCACATAGTTTAACCTTTCTTTTCATAGAGCAGTTTGGAAACACTCTGTTTGTAAAGTCTGCAAGTGGATATATGGACCGCATTGAGGCCTTCGTTGGAAACGGGATTTCTTCATTTCATGCTAGACAGAAGAATTCTCAGTAACTTCTTTGTGCTGTGTGTATTCAACTCACAGAGTGGAACGTTCCTTTACACAGAGCAGATTTGAAACACTCTTTTTGTGGAATTTGCAAGTGGAGATTTCAAGCGATTTGATGCCAACAGTAGAAAAGGAAATATCTTCAAATAAAAACTAGACAGAATCATTCTCAGAAACTACTTTGTGATGTGTGCCTTCAACTCACAGAGTTTAACCTTTCTTTTCTTAGAGCAGTTTAGAAACACTCTGCTTGTTATGTCTGCAAGTGGATATTTGGACCTCTTTGAGGCCTTCGTTGCAAACGGGGTTTCTTCCTTTCATGCTAGACTAAGAAGAGTTCTCAGTAACTTTTTTGTGTTGTGTGTATTCAACTCACAGAGTTGAACCTTGCTTTAGAGAGAGCAGATTTGAAACACTCTTGCTGTGGCATTTTCAGGTGGAGATTTCAAGCGTTTTGAGGACAATTGCAGAAAAGGAAATATCTTCGTATAATAACCAGACAGAATCATTCTCAGAAAGTGCTTTGTGATGTGTGCGTTCAACTCACAGAGTTTAACTTTTCTTTCCATAGAGGAGTTTGGAAACACACTGTTTGTAAAGTCTGCAAGTGGATATATGGACCTGTTTGAGGCCTTCGTTGGAAACGGGATTTCTTCATTGAATGCTAGACGGAAGAATTCTCAGTAAATTCTTTGTGTTGTGTGCATTCAACTGACAGAGTGGAACGTCCCTTTAGACAGAGCAGATTTGAAACACTCTTTTTGCGGAATTTGCAAGTGGAGATTTCTAGCCATTTGATTCCAACAGTAGAAAGTGAAATATCTTCAAATAAAAACCAGACAGGATCATTCTCAGAAAATTCTTTGTGATGTGTGCGTTCAACTCACATAGTTTAACCTTTCTTTTCATAGAGCAGTTTGGAAACACTCTGTTTGTAAAGTCTGCAAGTGGATATATGGACCGCATTGAGGCCTTCGTTGGAAACGGGATTTCTTCATTTCATGCGAGACAGAAGAATTCTCAGTAACTTCTTTGTGCTGTGTGTATTCAACTCACAGAGTGGAACGTCCCTTTACACAGAGCAGATTTGAAACACTCTTTTTGTGGAGTTTGCAAGTGGAGATTTCAAGCGATTTGATGCCAGCAGTAGAAAAGGAAATATCTTCAAATAAAAACTAGACAGAATCATTCTCAGAAACTACTTTGTGATGTGTGCCTTCAACTCACAGAGTTTAACCTTTCTTTTCTTAGAGCAGTTTAGAAACACTCTGCTTGTTATGTCTGCAAGTGGATATTTGGACCTCTTTGAGGCCTTCGTTGCAAACGGGGTTTCTTCCTTTCATGCTAGACTAAGAAGAGTTCTCAGTAACTTTTTTGTGTTGTGTGTATTCAACTCACAGAGTTGAACCTTGCTTTAGAGAGAGCAGATTTGAAACACTCTTGCTGTGGCATTTTCAGGTGGAGATTTCAAGCGATTTGAGGACAATTGCAGAAAAGGAAATATCTTCGTATAATAACCAGACAGAATCATTCTCAGAAAGTGCTTTGTGATGTGTGCGTTCCACTCACAGAGTTTAACCTTTCTTTTCATAGAGGAGTTTGGAAACAAACTGTTTGTAAACTCTGCAAGTGGATATATGGACCTGTTTGAGGCCTTCGTTGGAAACGGGATTTCTTCATTGAATGCTAGACGGAAGAATTCTCAGTAAATTCTTTGTGTTGTGTGCATTCAACTCACAGAGTAGAACGTCCCTTTAGGCAGAGCAGATTTGAAACACTCTTTTTGCGGAATTTGCAAGTGGAGATTTCTAGCCATTTGATGCCAACAGTAGAAAGGGAAATATCTTCAAATAAAAACCAGACAGAATCATTCTCAGAAAATTCTTTGTGATGTGTGCGTTCAACTCACATAGTTTAACCTTTCTTTTCATAGAGCAGTTTGGAAACACTCTGTTTGTAAAGTCTGCAAGTGGATATATGGACCGCATTGAGGCCTTCGTTGGAAACGGGATTTCTTCATTTCATGCTAGACAGAAGAATTCTCAGTAACTTCTTTGTGCTGTGTGTATTCAACTCACAGAGTGGAACGTCCCTTTGCACAGAGCAGATTTGAAACACTCTTTTTGTGGAGTTTGCAAGTGGAGATTTCAAGCGATTTGATGCCAACAGTAGAAAAGGAAATATCTTCAAATAAAAACTAGACAGAATCATTCTCAGAAACTACTTTGTGATGTGTGCCTTCAACTCACAGAGTTTAACCTTTCTTTTCTTAGAGCAGTTTAGAAACACTCTGCTTGTTATGTCTGCAAGTGGATATTTGGACCTGTTTGAGGCCTTCGTTGCAAACGGGGTTTCTTCCTTTCATGCTAGACTAAGAAGAGTTCTCAGTAACTTTTTTGTGTTGTGTGTATTCAACTCACAGAGTTGAACCTTGCTTTAGAGAGAGCAGATTTGAAACACTCTTGCTGTGGCATTTTCAGGTGGAGATTTCAAGCGGTTTGAGGACAATTGCAGAAAAGGAAATATCTTCGTATAATAACCAGACAGAATCATTCTCAGAAAGTGCTTTGTGATGTGTGCGTTCAACTCACAGAGTTTAACCTTTCTTTTCATAGAGGAGTTTGGAAACACACTGTTTGTAAAGTCTGCAAGTGGATATATGGACCTGTTTGAGGCCTTCGTTGGAAACGGGATTTCTTCATTGAATGCTAGACGGAAGAATTCTCAGTAAATTCTTTGTGTTGTGTGCATTCAACTGACAGAGTGGAACGTCCCTTTAGACAGAGCAGATTTGAAACACTCTTTTTGCGGAATTTGCAAGTGGAGATTTCTAGCCATTTGATGCCAACAGTAGAAAGGGAAATATCTTCAAATAAAAACCAGACAGAATCATTCTCAGAAAATTCTTTGTGATGTGTGCGTTCAACTCACATAGTTTAACCTTTCTTTTCATAGAGCAGTTTGGAAACACTCTGTTTGTAAAGTCTGCAAGTGGATATATGGACCGCATTGAGGCCTTCGTTGGAAACGGGATTTCTTCATTTCATGCTAGACAGAAGAATTCTCAGTAACTTCTTTGTGCTGTGTGTATTCAACTCACAGAGTGGAACGTCCCTTTGCACAGAGCAGATTTGAAACACTCTTTTTGTGGAGTTTGCAAGTGGAGATTTCAAGCGATTTGATGCCAACAGTAGAAAAGGAAATATCTTCAAATAAAAACTAGACAGAATCATTCTCAGAAACTACTTTGTGATGTGTGCCTTCAACTCACAGAGTTTAACCTTTCTTTTCTTAGAGCAGTTTAGAAACACTCTGCTTGTTATGTCTGCAAGTGGATATTTGGACCTCTTTGAGGCCTTCGTTGCAAACGGGGTTTCTTCCTTTCATGCTAGACTAAGAAGAGTTCTCAGTAACATTTTTGTGTTGTGTGTATTCAACTCACAGAGTTGAACCTTGCTTTAGAGAGAGCAGATTTGAAACACTCTTGCTGTGGCATTTTCAGGTGGAGATTTCAAGCGATTTGAGGACAATTGCAGAAAAGGAAATATCTTCGTATAACAACCAGACAGAATCATTCTCAGAAAGTGCTTTGTGATGTGTGCGTTCAACTCACAGAGTTTAACCTTTCTTTTCATAGAGGAGTTTGGAAACACACTGTTTGTAAAGTCTGCAATTGGATATATGGACCTGTTTGAGGCCTTCGTTGGAAACGGGATTTCTTCATTGCATGCTAGACGGAAGAATTCTCAGTAAATTCTTTGTGTGGTGTGCATTCAACTCACAGAGTGGAACGTCCCTTTAGACAGAGCAGATTTGAAACACTCTTTTTGCGGAATTTGCAAGTGGAGATTTCTAGCCATTTGATGCCAACAGTAGAAAGGGAAATATCTTCAAATAAAAACCAGACAGAATCATTCTCAGAAAATTCTTTGTGATGTGTGCGTTCAACTCACATAGTTTAACCTTTCTTTTCATAGAGCAGTTTGGAAACACTCTGTTTGTAAAGTCTGCAAGTGGATATATGGACCGCATTGAGGCCTTCGTTGGAAACGGGATTTCTTCATTTCATGCTAGACAGAAGAATTCTCAGTAACTTCTTTGTGCTGTGTGTATTCAACTCACAGAGTGGAACGTCCCTTTGCACAGAGCAGATTTGAAACACTCTTTTTGTGGAGTTTGCAAGTGGAGATTTCAAGCGATTTGATGCCAACAGTAGAAAAGGAAATATCTTCAAATAAAAACTAGACAGAATCATTCTCAGAAACTACTTTGTGATGTGTGCCTTCAACTCACAGAGTTTAACCTTTCTTTTCTTAGAGCAGTTTAGAAACACTCTGCTTGTTATGTCTGCAAGTGGATATTTGGACCTCTTTGAGGCCTTCGTTGCAAACGGGGTTTCTTCCTTTCATGCTAGACTAAGAAGAGTTCTCAGTAACTTTTTTGTGTTGTGTGTATTCAACTCACAGAGTTGAACCTTGCTTTAGAGAGAGCAGATTTGAAACACTCTTGCTGTGGCATTTTCAGGTGGAGATTTCAAGCGATTTGAGGACAATTGCAGAAAAGGAAATATCTTCGTATAATAACCAGACAGAATCATTCTCAGAAAGTGCTTTGTGATGTGTGCGTTCCACTCACAGAGTTTAACCTTTCTTTTCATAGAGGAGTTTGGAAACACACTGTTTGTAAAGTCTGCAAGTGGATATATGGACCTGTTTGAGGCCTTCGTTGGAAACGGGATTTCTTCATTGAATGCTAGACGGAAGAATTCTCAGTAAATTCTTTGTGTTGTGTGCATTCAACTCACAGAGTGGAACGTCCCTTTAGACAGAGCAGATTTGAAACACTCTTTTTGCGGAATTTGCAAGTGGAGATTTCTAGCCATTTGATGCCAACCGTAGAAAGGGAAATATCTTCAAATAAAAACCAGGCAGAATCATTCTCAGAAAATTCTTTGTGATGTGTGCGTTCAACTCACATAGTTTAACCTTTCTTTTCATAGAGCAGTTTGGAAACACTCTGTTTGTAAAGTCTGCAAGTGGATATATGGACCGCATTGAGGCCTTCGTTGGAAACGGGATTTCTTCATTTCATGCTAGACAGAAGAACTCTCAGCAACTTCTTTGTGCTGTGTGTATTCAACTCACAGAGTGGAACGTCCCTTTACACAGAGCAGATTTGAAACACTCTTTTTGTGGAGTTTGCAAGTGAAGATTTCAAGCGATTTGATGCCAACAGTAGAAAAGGAAATATCTTCAAATAAAAACTAGACAGAATCATTCTCAGAAACTACTTTGTGATGTGTGCCTTCAACTCACAGAGTTTAACCTTTCTTTTCTTAGAGCAGTTTAGAAACACTCTGCTTGTTATGTCTGCAAGTGGATATTTGGACCTCTTTGAGGCCTTCGTTGCAAACGGGGTTTCTTCCTTTCATGCTAGACTAAGAAGAGTTCTCAGTAACTTTTTTGTGTTGTGTGTATTCAACTCACAGAGTTGAACCATGCTTTAGAGAGAGCAGATTTGAAACACTCTTGCTGTGGCATTTTCAGTTGGAGATTTCAAGCGATTTGAGGACAATTGCAGAAAAGGAAATATCTTCGTATAACAACCAGACAGAATCATTCTCAGAAAGTGCTTTGTGATGTGTGCGTTCAACTCACAGAGTTTAACCTTTCTTTTCATAGAGGAGTTTGGAAACACACTGTTTGTAAAGTCTGCAATTGGATATATGGACCTGTTTGAGGCCTTCGTTGGAAACGGGATTTCTTCATTGCATGCTAGACGGAAGAATTCTCAGTAAATTCTTTGTGTTGTGTGCATTCAACTCACAGAGTGGAACGTCCCTTTAGACAGAGCAGATTTGAAACACTCTTTTTGCGGAATTTGCAAGTGGAGATTTCTAGCCATTTGATGCCAACAGTAGAAAGGGAAATATCTTCAAATAAAAACTAGACAGAATCATCCTCAGAAAATTCTTTGTGATGTGTGCCTTCAACTCACAAAGTTTAACCTTTCTTTTCTTAGAGCAGTTTAGAAACACTCTGCTTGTTATGTCTGCAAGTGGATATTTGGACCTCTTTGAGGCCTTCGTTGCAAACGGGGTTTCTTCCTTTCATGCTAGACTAAGAAGAGTTCTCAGTAACTTTTTTGTGTTGTGTGTATTCAACTCACAGAGTTGAACCTTGCTTTAGAGAGAGCAGATTTGAAACACTCTTGCTGTGGCATTTTCAGGTGGAGATTTCAAGCGATTTGAGGACAATTGCAGAAAAGGAAATATCTTCGTATAATAACCAGACAGAATCATTCTCAAAAAGTGCTTTGTGATGTGTGCGTTCAACTCACAGAGTTTAACCTTTCTTTTCATAGAGGAGCTTGGAAACACACTGTTTGTAAAGTCTGCAATTGGATATATGGACCTGTTTGAGGCTTCCGTTGGAAACGGGATTTCTTCATTGAATGCTAGACGGAAGAATTCTCAGTAAATTCTTTGTGTTGTGTGCATTCAACTCACAGAGTGGAACGTCCCTTTAGACAGAGCAGATTTGAAACACTCTTTTTGCGGAATTTGCAAGTGGAGATTTCTAGCCATTTGATGCCAACAGTAGAAAGGGAAATATCTTCAAATAAAAACCAGACAGAATCATTCTCAGAAAATTCTTTGTGATGTGTGCGTTCAACTCACATAGTTTAACCTTTCTTTTCATAGAGCAGTTTGGAAACACTCTGTTTGTAAAGTCTGCAAGTGGATATATGGACCGCATTGAGGCCTTCGTTGGAAACGGGATTTCTTCATTTCATGCTAGACAGAAGAATTCTCAGTAACTTCTTTGTGCTGTGTGTATTCAACTCACAGAGTGGAACGTCCCTTTACACAGAGCAGATTTGAAACACTCTTTTTGTGGAGTTTGCAAGTGGAGATTTCAAGCGATTTGATGCCAACAGTAGAAAAGGAAATATCTTCAAATAAAAACTAGACAGAATCATTCTCAGAAACTACTTTGTGATGTGTGCCTTCAACTCACAGAGTTTAACCTTTCTTTTCTTAGAGCAGTTTAGAAACACTCTGCTTGTTATGTCTGCAAGTGGATATTTGGACCTCTTTGAGGCCTTCGTTGCAAACGGGGTTTCTTCCTTTCATGCTAGACTAAGAAGAGTTCTCAGTAACTTTTTTGTGTTGTGTGCATTCAACTCACAGAGTTGAACCTTGCTTTAGAGAGAGCAGATTTGAAACACTCTTGCTGTGGCATTTTCAGGTGGAGATTTCAAGCGATTTGAGGACAATTGCAGAAAAGGAAATATCTTCGTATAACAACCAGACAGAATCATTCTCAGAGAGTGCTTTGTGATGTGTGCGTTCAACTCACAGAGTTTAACCTTTCTTTTCATAGAGGAGTTTGGAAACACACTGTTTGTAAAGTCTGCAATTGGATATATGGACCTGTTTGAGGCCTTCGTTGGAAACGGGATTTCTTCATTGAATGCTAGACGGAAGAATTCTCAGTAAATTCTTTGTGTTGTGTGCATTCAACTCACAGAGTGGAACGTCCCTTTAGACAGAGCAGATTTGAAACACTCTTTTTGCGGAATTTGCAAGTGGAGATTTCTAGCCATTTGATGCCAACAGTAGAAAGGGAAATATCTTCAAATAAAAACCAGACAGAATCATTCTCAGAAAATTCTTTGTGATGTGTGCGTTCAACTCACATAGTTTAACCTTTCTTTTCATAGAGCAGTTTGGAAACACTCTGTTTGTAAAGTCTGCAAGTGGATATATGGACCGCATTGAGGCCTTCGTTGGAAACGGGATTTCTTCATTTCATGCTAGACAGAAGAATTCTCAGTAACTTCTTTGTGCTGTGTGTATTCAACTCACAGAGTGGAACGTCCCTTTACACAGAGCAGATTTGAAACACTCTTCTTGTGGAGTTTGCAAGTGGAGATTTCAAGCGATTTGATGCCAACAGTAGAAAAGGAAATATCTTCAAGTAAAAACTAGACAGAATCATTCTCAGAAACTACTTTGTGATGTGTGCCTTCAACTCACAGAGTTTAACCTTTCTTTTCTTAGAGCAGTTTAGAAACACTCTGCTTGTTATGTCTGCAAGTGGATATTTGGACCTCTTTGAGGCCTTCGTTGCAAACGGGGTTTCTTCCTTTCATGCTAGACTAAGAAGAGTTCTCAGTAACTTTTTTGTGTTGTGTGTATTCAACTCACAGAGTTGAACCTTGCTTTAGAGAGAGCAGATTTGAAACACTCTTGCTGTGGCATTTTCAGGTGGAGATTTCAAGCGATTTGAGGACAATTGCAGAAAAGGAAATATCTTCGTATAATAACCAGACAGAATCATTCTCAGAAAGTGCTTTGTGATGTGTGCGTTCAACTCACAGAGTTTAACCTTTCTTTTCATAGAGGAGTTTGGAAACACACTGTTTGTAAAGTCTGCAATTGGATATATGGACCTGTTTCAGGCCTTCGTTGGAAACGGGATTTCTTCATTGAATGCTAGACGGAAGAATTCTCAGTAAATTCTTTGTGTTGTGTGCATTCAACTGACAGAGTGGAACTGTCCCTTTAGACAGAGCAGATTTGAAACACTCTTTTTGCGGAATTTGCAAGTGGAGATTTCTAGCCATTTGATGCCAACAGTAGAAAGGGAAATATCTTCAAATAAAAACCAGACAGAATCATTCTCAGAAAATTCTTTGTGATGTGTGCGTTCAACTCACATAGTTTAACCTTTCTTTTCATAGATCAGTTTGGAAACACTCTGTTTGTAAAGTCTGCAAGTGGATATATAGACCGCATTGAGGCCTTCGTTGGAAACGGGATTTCTTCATTTCATGCTAGACAGAAGAATTCTCAGTAACTTCTTTGTGCTGTGTGTATTCAACTCACAGAGTGGAACGTCCCTTTACACAGAGCAGATTTGAAACACTCTTTTTGTGGAATTTGCAAGTGGAGATTTCAAGCGATTTGATGCCAACAGTAGAAAAAGAAATATCTTCAAATAAAAACTAGACAGAATCATTCTCAGAAACTACTTTGTGATGTGTGCCTTCAACTCACAGAGTTTAACCTTTCTTTTCTTAGAGCAGTTTAGAAACACTCTGCTTGTTATGTCTGCAAGTGGATATTTGGACCTCTTTGAGGCCTTCGTTGCAAACGGGGTTTCTTCCTTTCATGCTAGACTAAGAAGAGTTCTCAGTAACTTTTCTGTGTTGTGTGTATTCAACTCACAGAGTTGAACCTTGCTTTAGAGAGAGCAGATTTGAAACACTCTTGCTGTGGCATTTTCAGGTGGAGATTTCAAGCGTTTTGAGGACAATTGCAGAAAAGGAAATATCTTCGTATAATAACCAGACAGAATCATTCTCAGAAAGTGCTTTGTGATGTGTGCGTTCCACTCACAGAGTTTAACCTTTCTTTTCATAGAGGAGTTTGGAAACACACTGTTTGTAAACTCTGCAAGTGGATATATGGACCTGTTTGAGGCCTTCGTTGGAAACGGGATTTCTTCATTGAATGCTAGACGGAGGAATTCTCAGTAAATTCTTTGTGTTGTGTGCATTCAACTCACAGAGTGGAACGTCCCTTTAGACAGAGCAGATTTGAAACACTCTT
Source organism: Homo sapiens (assembly GCF_000001405.40). Classification (NCBI taxonomy): domain Eukaryota; kingdom Metazoa; phylum Chordata; class Mammalia; order Primates; family Hominidae; genus Homo; species Homo sapiens. The sequence goes on from NC_000007.14 coordinate 59,489,543, forward strand.
TTTGCGGAATTTGCAAGTGGAGATTTCTAGCCATTTGATGCCAACAGTAGAAAGGGAAATATCTTCAAATAAAAACCAGACAGAATCATTCTCAGAAAATTCTTTGTGATGTGTGCGTTCAACTCACATAGTTTAACCTTTCTTTTCATAGAGCAGTTTGGAAACACTCTGTTTGTAAAGTCTGCAAGTGGATATATGGACCGCATTGAGGCCTTCGTTGGAAACGGGATTTCTTCATTTCATGCTAGACAGAAGAATTCTCAGTAACTTCTTTGTGCTGTGTGTATTCAACTCACAGAGTGGAACGTCCCTTTGCACAGAGCAGATTTGAAACACTCTTTTTGTGGAGTTTGCAAGTGGAGATTTCAAGCGATTTGATGCCAACAGTAGAAAAGGAAATATCTTCAAATAAAAACTAGACAGAATCATTCTCAGAAACTACTTTGTGATGTGTGCCTTCAACTCACAGAGTTTAACCTTTCTTTTCTTAGAGCAGTTTAGAAACACTCTGCTTGTTATGTCTGCAAGTGGATATTTGGACCTCTTTGAGGCCTTCGTTGCAAACGGGGTTTCTTCCTTTCATGCTAGACTAAGAAGAGTTCTCAGTAACTTTTTTGTGTTGTGTGTATTCAACTCACAGAGTTGAACCTTGCTTTAGAGAGAGCAGATTTGAAACACTCTTGCTGTGGCATTTTCAGGTGGAGATTTCAAGCGATTTGAGGACAATTGCAGAAAAGGAAATATCTTCGTATAATAACCAGACAGAATCATTCTCAGAAAGTGCTTTGTGATGTGTGCGTTCCACTCACAGAGTTTAACCTTTCTTTTCATAGAGGAGTTTGGAAACACACTGTTTGTAAAGTCTGCAATTGGATATATGGACCTGTTTGAGGCCTTCGTTGGAAACGGGATTTCTTCATTGAATGCTAGACGGAAGAATTCTCAGTAAATTCTTTGTGTTGTGTGCATTCAACTCACAGAGTGGAACGTCCCTTTAGACAGAGCAGATTTGAAACACTCTTTTTGCGGAATTTGCAAGTGGAGATTTCTAGCCATTTGATGCCAACAGTAGAAAGGGAAATATCTTCAAATAAAAACCAGACAGAATCATTCTCAGAAAATTCTTTGTGATGTGTGCGTTCAACTCACATAGTTTAACCTTTCTTTTCATAGAGCAGTTTGGAAACACTCTGTTTGTAAAGTCTGCAAGTGGATATATGGACCGCATTGAGGCCTTCGTTGGAAACGGGATTTCTTCATTTCATGCTAGACAGAAGAATTCTCAGTAACTTCTTTGTGCTGTGTGTATTCAACTCACAGAGTGGAACGTCCCTTTGCACAGAGCAGATTTGAAACACTCTTTTTGTGGAGTTTGCAAGTGGAGATTTCAAGCGATTTGATGCCAACAGTAGAAAAGGAAATATCTTCAAATAAAAACTAGACAGAATCATTCTCAGAAACTACTTTGTGATGTGTGCCTTCAACTCACAGAGTTTAACCTTTCTTTTCTTAGAGCAGTTTAGAAACACTCTGCTTGTTATGTCTGCAAGTGGATATTTGGACCTCTTTGAGGCCTTCGTTGCAAACGGGGTTTCTTCCTTTCATGCTAGACTAAGAAGAGTTCTCAGTAACTTTTTTGTGTTGTGTGTATTCAACTCACAGAGTTGAACCTTGCTTTAGAGAGAGCAGATTTGAAACACTCTTGCTGTGGCATTTTCAGGTGGAGATTTCAAGCGATTTGAGGACAATTGCAGAAAAGGAAATATCTTCGTATAATAACCAGACAGAATCATTCTCAGAAAGTGCTTTGTGATGTGTGCGTTCAACTCACAGAGTTTAACCTTTCTTTTCATAGAGGAGTTTGGAAACACACTGTTTGTAAAGTCTGAAAGTGGATATATGGACCTGTTTGAGGCCTTCGTTGGAAACGGGATTTCTTCATTGAATGCTAGACGGAAGAATTCTCAGTAAATTCTTTGTGTTGTGTGCATTCAACTCACAGAGTGGAACGTCCCTTCAGACAGAGCAGATTTGAAACACTCTTTTTGCGGAATTTGCAAGTGGAGATTTCTAGCCATTTGATGCCAACAGTAGAAAGGGAAATATCTTCAAATAAAAACCAGACAGAATCATTCTCAGAAAATTCTTTGTGATGTGTGCGTTCAACTCACATAGTTTAACCTTTCTTTTCATAGAGCAGTTTGGAAACACTCTGTTTGTAAAGTCTGCAAGTGGATATATGGACCGCATTGAGGCCTTCGTTGGAAACGGGATTTCTTCATTTCATGCTAGACAGAAGAATTCTCAGTAACTTCTTTGTGCTGTGTGTATTCAACTCACAGAGTGGAACGTCCCTTTGCACAGAGCAGATTTGAAACACTCTTTTTGTGGAGTTTGCAAGTGGAGATTTCAAGTGATTTGATGCCAACAGTAGAAAAGGAAATATCTTCAAATAAAAACTAGACAGAATCATTCTCAGAAACTACTTTGTGATGTGTGCCTTCAACTCACAGAGTTTAACCTTTCTTTTCTTAGAGCAGTTTAGAAACACTCTGCTTGTTATGTCTGCAAGTGGATATTTGGACCTCTTTGAGGCCTTCGTTGCAAACGGGGTTTCTTCCTTTAATGCTAGACTAAGAAGAGTTCTCAGTAACTTTTTTGTGTTGTGTGTATTCAACTCACAGAGTTGAACCTTGCTTTAGAGAGAGCAGATTTGAAACACTCTCGCTGTGGAATTTTCAGGTGGAGATTTCAAGCGATTTGAGGACAATTGCAGAAAAGGAAATATCTTCGTATAATAACCAGACAGAATCATTCTCAGAAAGTGCTTTGTGATGTGTGCGTTCAACTCACAGAGTTTAACCTTTCTTTTCATAGAGGAGTTTGGAAACACACTGTTTGTAAAGTCTGCAATTGGATATATGGACCTGTTTGAGGCCTTCGTTGGAAACGGGATTTCTTCATTGAATGCTAGACGGAAGAATTCTCAGTAAATTCTTTGTGTTGTGTGCATTCAACTGACAGAGTGGAACGTCCCTTTAGACGGAGCAGATTTGAAACACTCTTTTTGCGGAATTTGCAAGTGGAGATTTCTAGCCATTTGATGCCAACAGTAGAAAGGGAAATATCTTCAAATAAAAACCAGACAGAATCATTCTCAGAAAATTCTTTGTGATGTGTGCGTTCAACTCACATAGTTTAACCTTTCTTTTCATAGAGCAGTTTGGAAACACTCTGTTTGTAAAGTCTGCAAGTGGATATATGGACCGCATTGAGGCCTTCGTTGGAAACGGGATTTCTTCATTTCATGCTAGACAGAAGAATTCTCAGTAACTTCTTTGTGCTGTGTGTATTCAACTCACAGAGTTGAACCTTGCTTTAGAGAGAGCAGAATTGAAACACTCTTGCTGTGGCATTTTCAGGTGGAGATTTCAAGCGATTTGAGGAAAATTGCAGAAAAGGGAATATCTTCGTATAATAACCAGACAGAATCATTCTCAGAAAGTGCTTTGTGATGTGTGCGTTCCACTCACAGAGTTTAACCTTTCTTTTCATAGAGGAGTTTGGAAACACACTTTTTGTAAACTCTGCAAGTGGATATATGGACCTGTTTGAGGCCTTCGTTGGAAACGGGATTTCTTCATTGAATGCTAGACGGAAGAATTCTCAGTAAATTCTTTGTGTTGTCTGCATTCAACTCACAGAGTGGAACCGTCCTTTTAGACAGAGCAGATTTGAAACACTCTTTGTCTGGAATTTGCAAATGGAGATTTCAAGCGATTTGATGACAACAGTAGAAAAGGAAATATCTTCAAATAAAAACCAGACAGAATCATTCTCAGAAAGTGCTTTGTGATGTGTGCGTTCAACTCACAGAGTTTAACCTTTCTTTTCATAGAGGAGTTTGGAAACACACTGTTTGTAAAGTCTGCAAGTGGATATATGGACCTGTTTGAGGCCTTCGTTGGAAACGGGATTTCTTCATTGAATGCTAGACGGAAGAATTCTCAGTAAATTCTTTGTGTTGTGTGCATTCAACTCACAGAGTGGAACGTCCCTTTAGACAGAGCAGATTTGAAACACTCTTTTTGTGGAGTTTGCAAGTGGAGATTTCAAGCGATTTGATGCCAACAGTAGAAAAGGAAATATCTTCAAATAAAAACTAGACAGAATCATTCTCAGAAACTACTTTGTGATGTGTGCCTTCAACTCACAGAGTTTAACCTTTCTTTTCTTAGAGCAGTTTAGAAACACTCTGCTTGTTATGTCTGCAAGTGGATATTTGGACCTCTTTGAGGCCTTCGTTGTAAACGGGGTTTCTTCCTTTCATGCTAGACTAAGAAGAGTTCTCAGTAACTTTTTTGTGTTGTGTGTATTCAACTCACAGAGTTGAACCTTGCTTTAGAGAGAGCAGATTTGAAACACTCTTGCTGTGGCATTTTCAGGTGGAGATTTCAAGCGATTTGAGGACAATTGCAGAAAAGGAAATATCTTCCGTATAATAACCAGACAGAATCATTCTCAGAAAGCGCTTTGTGATGTGTGCGTTCCACTCACAGAGTTTAACCTTTCTTTTCATAGAGGAGTTTGGAAACACACTGTTTGTATAGTCTGCAAGTGGATATATGGACCTGTTTGAGGCCTTCGTTGGAAACGGGATTTCTTCATTGAATGCTAGACGGAAGAATTCTCAGTAAATTCTTTGTGTTGTGTGCATTCAACTCACAGAGTGGAACGTCCCTTTAGACAGAGCAGATTTCAAACACTCTTTTTGCGGAATTTGCAAGTGGAGATTTCTAGCCATTTGATGCCAACAGTAGAAAGGGAAATATCTTCAAATAAAAACCAGACAGAATCATTCTCAGAAAATTCTTTGTGATGTGTGCGTTCAACTCACATAGTTTAACCTTTCTTTTCATAGAGCAGTTTGGAAACACTCTGTTTGTAAAGTCTGCAAGTGGATATATGGACCGCATTGAGGCCTTCGTTGGAAACGGGATTTCTTCATTTCATGCTAGACAGAAGAATTCTCAGTAACTTCTTTGTGCTGTGTGTATTCAACTCACAGAGTGGAACGTCCCTTTGCACAGAGCAGATTTGAAACACTCTTTTTGTGGAGTTTGCAAGTGGAGATTTCAAGCGATTTGATGCCAACAGTAGAAAAGGAAATATCTTCAAATAAAAACTAGACAGAATCATTCTCAGAAACTACTTTGTGATGTGTGCCTTCAACTCACAGAGTTTAACCTTTCTTTTCTTAGAGCAGTTTAGAAACACTCTGCTTGTTATGTCTGCAAGTGGATATTTGGACCTCTTTGAGGCCTTCGTTGCAAACGGGGTTTCTTCCTTTCATGCTAGACTAAGAAGAGTTCTCAGTAACTTTTTTGTGTTGTGTGTATTCAACTCACAGAGTTGAACCTTGCTTTAGAGAGAGCAGATTTGAAACACTCTTGCTGTGGCATTTTCAGGTGGAGATTTCAAGCGATTTGAGGACAATTACAGAAAAGGAAATATCTTCGTATAACAACCAGACAGAATCATTCTCAGAAAGTGCTTTGTGATGTGTGCGTTCCACTCACAGAGTTTAACCTTTCTTTTCATAGAGGAGTTTGGAAACACACTGTTTGTAAACTCTGCAAGTGGATATATGGACCTGTTTGAGGCCTTCGTTGGAAACGGGATTTCTTCATTGAATGCTAGACGGAAGAATTCTCAGTAAATTCTTTGTGTTGTGTGCATTCAACTCACAGAGTGGAACGTCCCTTTAGACAGAGCAGATTTGAAACACTCTTTTTGCGGAATTTGCAAGTGGAGATTTCTAGCCATTTGATGCCAACAGTAGAAAGGGAAATATCTTCAAATAAAAACCAGACAGAATCATTCTCAGAAAATTCTTTGTGATGTGTGCATTCAACTCACATAGTTTAACCTTTCTTTTCATAGAGCAGTTTGGAAACACTCTGTTTGTAAAGTCTGCAAGTGGATATATGGACCGCATTGAGGCCTTCGTTGGAAACGGGATTTCTTCATTTCATGCTAGACAGAAGAATTCTCAGTAACTTCTTTGTGCTGTGTGTATTCAACTCACAGAGTGGAACGTCCCTTTACACAGAGAAGATTTGAAACACTCTTTTTGTGGAGTTTGCAAGTGGAGATTTCAAGCGATTTGATGCCAACAGTAGAAAAGGAAATATCTTCAAATAAAAACTAGACAGAATCATTCTCAGAAACTACTTTGTGATGTGTGCCTTCAACTCACAGAGTTTAACCTTTCTTTTCTTAGAGCAGTTTAGAAACACTCTGCTTGTTATGTCTGCAAGTGGATATTTGGACCTCTATGAGGCCTTCGTTGCAAACGGGGTTTCTTCCTTTAATGCAAGACTAAGAAGAGTTCTCAGTAACTTTTTGTGTTGTGTGTATTCAACTCACAGAGTTGAACCTTGCTTTAGAGAGAGCAGATTTGAAACACTCTTGCTGTGGAATTTTCAGGTGGAGATTTCAAGCGATTTGAGGACAATTGCAGAAAAGGAAATATCTTCGTATAATAACCAGACAGAATCATTCTCAGAAAGTGCGTTGTGATGTGTGCGTTCAACTCACAGAGTTTAACCTTTCTTTTCATAGAGGAGCTTGGAAACACACTGTTTGTAATGTCTGCAATTGGATATATGGACCTGTTTGAGGCCTCCGTTGGAAACGGGATTTCTTCATTGAATGCTAGACGGAAGAATTCTCAGTAAATTCTTTGTGTTGTGTGCATTGAACTCACAGAGTGGAACGTCCCTTTAGACAGAGCAGATTTGAAAAAACACTCTTTTTGCGGAATTTGCAAGTGGAGATTTCTAGCCATTTGATGTCAACAGTAGAAAGGGAAATATCTTCAAATAAAAACCAGACAGAATCATTCTCAGAAAATTCTTTGTGATGTGTGCGTTCAACTCACATAGTTTAACCTTTCTTTTCATAGAGCAGTTTGGAAACACTCTGTTTGTAAAGTCTGCAAGTGGATCTATGGACCGCATTGAGGCCTTCGTTGGAAACGGGATTTCTTCATTTCATGCTAGACAGAAGAATTCTCAGTAACTTCTTTGTGCTGTGTGTATTCAACTCACAGAGTGGAACGTCCCTTTACACAGAGCAGATTTGAAACACTCTTTTTGTGGAGTTTGCAAGTGGAGATTTCAAGCGATTTGATGCCAACAGTAGAAAAGGAAATATCTTCAAATAAAAACTAGACAGAATCATTCTCAGAAACTACTTTGTGATGTGTGCCTTCAACTCACAGAGTTTAACCTTTCTTTTCTTAGAGCAGTTTAGAAACACTCTGCTTGTTATGTCTGCAAGTGGATATTTGGACCTCTTTGAGGCCTTCGTTGCAAACGGGGTTTCTTCCTTTAATGCTAGACTAAGAAGAGTTCTCAGTAACTTTTTTGTGTTGTGTGTATTCAACTCACAGAGTTGAACCTTGCTTTAGAGAGAGCAGATTTGAAACACTCTCGCTGTGGAATTTTCAGGTGGAGATTTCAAGCGATTTGAGGACAATTGCAGAAAAGGAAATATCTTCGTATAATAACCAGACAGAATCATTCTCAGAAAGTGCTTTGTGATGTGTGCGTTCAACTCACAGAGTTTAACCTTTCTTTTCATAGAGGAGTTTGGAAACACACTGTTTGTAAAGTCTGCAATTGGATATATGGACCTGTTTGAGGCCTCCGTTGGAAACGGGATTTCTTCATTGAATGCTAGACGGAAGAATTCTCAGTAAATTCTTTGTGTTGTGTGCATTCAACTCACAGAGTGGAACGTCCCTTTAGACAGAGCAGATTTGAAACACTCTTTTTGCGGAATTTGCAAGTGGAGATTTCTAGCCATTTGATGCCAACAGTAGAAAGGGAAATATCTTCAAATAAAAACCAGACAGAATCATTCTCAGAAAATTCTTTGTGATGTGTGCGTTCAACTCACATAGTTTAACCTTTCTTTTCATAGAGCAGTTTGGAAACACTCTGTTTGTAAAGTCTGCAAGTGGATATATGGACCGCATTGAGGCCTTCGTTGGAAACGGGATTTCTTCATTTCATGCTAGACAGAAGAATTCTCAGTAACTTCTTTGTGCTGTGTGTATTCAACTCACAGAGTGGAACGTCCCTTTACACAGAGCAGATTTGAAACACTCTTTTTGTGGAGTTTGCAAGTGGAGATTTCAAGCGATTTGATGCCAACAGTAGAAAAGGAAATATCTTCAAATAAAAACTAGACAGAATCATTCTCAGAAACTACTTTGTGATGTGTGCCTTCAACTCACAGAGTTTAACCTTTCTTTTCTTAGAGCAGTTTAGAAACACTCTGCTTGTTATGTCTGCAAGTGGATATTTGGACCTCTTTGAGGCCTTCGTTGCAAACGGGGTTTCTTCCTTTAATGCTAGACTAAGAAGAGTTCTCAGTAACTTTTTTGTGTTGTGTGTATTCAACTCACAGAGTTGAACCTTGCTTTAGAGAGAGCAGATTTGAAACACTCTTGCTGTGGCATTTTCAGGTGGAGATTTCAAGCGTTTTGAGGACAATTGCAGAAAAGGAAATATCTTCGTATAATAACCAGACAGAATCATTCTCAGAAAGTGCTTTGTGATGTGTGCGTTCAACTCACAGAGTTTAACCTTTCTTTTCATAGAGGAGTTTGGAAACACACTGTTTGTAAAGTCTGCAATTGGATATATGGACCTGTTTGAGGCCTTCGTTGGAAACGGGATTTCTTCATTGCATGCTAGACGGAAGAATTCTCAGTAAATTCTTTGTGTTGTGTGCATTCAACTCACAGAGTGGAACGTCCCTTTAGACAGAGCAGATTTGAAACACTCTTTTTGCGGAATTTGCAAGTGGAGATTTCTAGCCATTTGATGCCAACAGTAGAAAGGGAAATATCTTCAAATAAAAACCAGACAGAATCATTCTCAGAAAGTGCTTTGTGATGTGTGCGTTCCACTCACAGAGTTTAACCTTTCTTTTCATAGAGGAGTTTGGAAACACACTGTTTGTAAAGTCTGCAAGTGGATATATGGACCTGTTTGAGGCCTTCGTTGGAAACGGGATTTCTTCATTGAATGCTAGACGGAAGAATTCTCAGTAAATTCTTTGTGTGGTGTGCATTCAACTCACAGAGTGGAACGTCCCTTTAGACAGAGCAGATTTGAAACACTCTTTTTGCGGAATTTGCAAGTGGAGATTTCTAGCCATTTGATGCCAACAGTAGAAAGGGAAATATCTTCAAATAAAAACCAGACAGAATCATTCTCAGAAAATTCTTTGTGATGTGTGCGTTCAACTCACATAGTTTAACCTTTCTTTTCATAGAGCAGTTTGGAAACACTCTGTTTGTAAAGTCTGCAAGTGGATATATGGACCACATTGAGGCCTTCGTTGGAAACGGGATTTCTTCATTTCATGTTAGACAGAAGAATTCTCAGTAACTTCTTTGTGCTGTGTGTATTCAACTCACAGAGTGGAACGTCCCTTTACACAGAGCAGATTTGAAACACTCTTTTTGTGGAGTTTGCAAGTGGAGATTTCAAGCGATTTGATGCCAACAGTAGAAAAGGAAATATCTTCAAAGAAAAACTAGACAGAATCATTCTCAGAAACTACTTTGTGATCTGTGCCTTCAACTCACAGAGTTTAACCTTTCTTTTCTTAGAGCAGTTTAGAAACACTCTGCTTGTTATGTCTGCAAGTGGATATTTGGACCTCTTTGAGGCCTTCGTTGCAAACGGGGTTTCTTCCTTTCATGCTAGACTAAGAAGAGTTCTCAGTAACTTTTTTGTGTTGTGTGTATTCAACTCACAGAGTTGAACCTTGCTTTAGAGAGAGCAGATTTGAAACACTCTTGCTGTGGCATTTTCAGGTGGAGATTTCAAGCGATTTGAGGACAATTGCAGAAAAGGAAATATCTTCGTATAACAACCAGACAGAATCATTCTCAGAAAGTGCTTTGTGATGTGTGCGTTCAACTCACAGAGTTTAACCTTTCTTTTCATAGAGGAGTTTGGAAACACACTGTTTGTAAAGTCTGCAATTGGATATATGGACCTGTTTGAGGCCTTCGTTGGAAACGGGATTTCTTCATTGAATGCTAGACGGAAGAATTCTCAGTAAATTCTTTGTGTTGTGTGCATTCAACTGACAGAGTGGAACGTCCCTTTAGACAGAGCAGATTTGAAACACTCTTTTTGCGGAATTTGCAAGTGGAGATTTCTAGCCATTTGATGCCAACAGTAGAAAGGGAAATATCTTCAAATAAAAACCAGACAGAATCATTCTCAGAAAATTCTTTGTGATGTGTGCGTTCAACTCACATAGTTTAACCTTTCTTTTCATAGAGCAGTTTGGAAACACTCTGTTTGTAAAGTCTGCAAGTGGATATATGGACCGCATTGAGGCCTTCGTTGGAAACGGGATTTCTTCATTTCATGCTAGACAGAAGAATTCTCAGTAACTTCTTTGTGCTGTGTGTACTCAACTCACAGAGTGGAACGTCCCTTTGCACAGAGCAGATTTGAAACACTCTTTTTGTGGAGTTTGCAAGTGGAGATTTCAAGCGATTTGATGCCAACAGTAGAAAAGGAAATATCTTCAAATAAAAACTAGACAGAATCATTCTCAGAAACTACTTTGTGATGTGTGCCTTCAACTCACAGAGTTTAACCTTTCTTTTCTTAGAGCAGTTTAGAAACACTCTGCTTGTTATGTCTGCAAGTGGATATTTGGACCTCTTTGAGGCCTTCGTTGCAAACGGGGTTTCTTCCTTTCATGCTAGACTAAGAAGAGTTCTCAGTAACTTTTTTGTGTTGTGTGTATTCAACTCACAGAGTTGAACCTTGCTTTAGAGAGAGCAGATTTGAAACACTCTTGCTGTGGCATTTTCAGGTGGAGATTTCAAGCGATTTGAGGACAATTGCAGAAAAGGAAATATCTTCGTATAATAACCAGACAGAATCATTCTCAGAAAGTGCTTTGTGATGTGTGCGTTCAACTCACAGAGTTTAACCTTTCTTTTCATAGAGGAGTTTGGAAACACACTGTTTGTAAAGTCTGCAAGTGGATATATGGACCTGTTTGAGGCCTTCGTTGGAAACGGGATTTCTTCATTGAATGCTAGACGGAAGAATTCTCAGTAAATTCTTTGTGTTGTGTGCATTCAACTCACAGAGTGGAACGTCCCTTTAGACAGAGCAGATTTGAAACACTCTTTTTGCGGAATTTGCAAGTGGAGATTTCTAGCCATTTGATGCCAACAGTAGAAAGGGAAATATCTTCAAATAAAAACCAGACAGAATCATTCTCAGAAAATTCTTTGTGATGTGTGCGTTCAACTCACATAGTTTAACCTTTCTTTTCATAGAGCAGTTTGGAAACACTCTGTTTGTAAAGTCTGCAAGTGGATATATGGACCGCATTGAGGCCTTCGTTGGAAACGGGATTTCTTCATTTCATGCTAGACAGAAGAATTCTCAGTAACTTCTTTGTGCTGTGTGTATTCAACTCACAGAGTGGAACGTCCCTTTGCACAGAGCAGATTTGAAACACTCTTTTTGTGGAGTTTGCAAGTGGAGATTTCAAGCGATTTGATGCCAACAGTAGAAAAGGAAATATCTTCAAATAAAAACTAGACAGAATCATTCTCAGAAACTACTTTGTGATGTGTGCCTTCAACTCACAGAGTTTAACCTTTCTTTTCTTAGAGCAGTTTAGAAACACTCTGCTTGTTATGTCTGCAAGTGGATATTTGGACCTCTTTGAGGCCTTCGTTGCAAACGGGGTTTCTTCCTTTCATGCTAGACTAAGAAGAGTTCTCAGTAACTTTTTTGTGTTGTGTGTATTCAACTCACAGAGTTGAACCTTGCTTTAGAGAGAGCAGATTTGAAACACTCTTGCTGTGGCATTTTCAGGTGGAGATTTCAAGCGATTTGAGGACAATTGCAGAAAAGGAAATATCTTCGTATAATAACCAGACAGAATCATTCTCAGAAAGTGCTTTGTGATGTGTGCGTTCCACTCACAGAGTTTAACCTTTCTTTTCATAGAGGAGTTTGGAAACACACTGTTTGTAAAGTCTGCAATTGGATATATGGACCTGTTTGAGGCCTTCGTTGGAAACGGGATTTCTTCATTGAATGCTAGACGGAAGAATTCTCAGTAAATTCTTTGTGTTGTGTGCATTCAACTCACAGAGTGGAACGTCCCTTTAGACAGAGCAGATTTGAAACACTCTTTTTGCGGAATTTGCAAGTGGAGATTTCTAGCCATTTGATGCCAACAGTTGAAAGGGAAATATCTTCAAATAAAAACCAGACAGAATCATTCTCAGAAAATTCTTTGTGATGTGTGCGTTCAACTCACATAGTTTAACCTTTCTTTTCATAGAGCAGTTTGGAAACACTCTGTTTGTAAAGTCTGCAAGTGGATACATGGACCTGTTTGAGGCCTTCGTTGGAAACGGGATTTCTTCATTGAATGCTAGACGGAAGAATTCTCAGTAACTTCTTTGTGCTGTGTGTATTCAACTCACAGAGTGGAACGTCCCTTTGCACAGAGCAGATTTGAAACACTCTTTTTGTGGAATTTGCAAGTGGAGATTTCAAGCGATTTGATGCCAACAGTAGAAAAGGAAATATCTTCAAATAAAAACTAGACAGAATCATTCTCAGAAACTACTTTGTGATGTGTGCCTTCAACTCACAGAGTTTAACCTTTCTTTTCTTAGAGCAGTTTAGAAACACTCTGCTTGTTATGTCTGCAAGTGGATATTTGGACCTCTTTGAGGCCTTCGTTGCAAACGGGGTTTCTTCCTTTCATGCTAGACTAAGAAGAGTTCTCAGTAACTTTTTTGTGTTGTGTGTATTCAACTCACAGAGTTGAACCTTGCTTTAGAGAGAGCAGATTTGAAACACTCTTGCTGTGGCATTTTCAGGTGGAGATTTCAAGCGATTTGAGGACAATTGCAGAAAAGGAAATATCTTCGTATAATAACCAGACAGAATCATTCTCAGAAAGTGCTTTGTGATGTGTGCGTTCCACTCACAGAGTTTAACCTTTCTTTTCATAGAGGAGTTTGGAAACACACTGTTTGTAAAGTCTGCAAGTGGATATATGGACCTCTTTGAGGCCTTCGTTGGAAACGGGATTTCTTCATTGAATGCTAGACGGAAGAATTCTCAGTAAATTCTTTGTGTTGTGTGCATTCAACTCACAGAGTGGAACGTCCCTTTAGACAGAGCAGATTTGAAACACTCTTTTTGCGGAATTTGCAAGTGGAGATTTCTAGCCATTTGATGCCAACAGTAGAAAGGGAAATATCTTCAAATAAAAACCAGACAGAATCATTCTCAGAAAATTCTTTGTGATGTGTGCGTTCAACTCACGTAGTTTAACCTTTCTTTTCATAGAGCAGTTTGGAAACACTCTGTTTGTAAAGTCTGCAAGTGGATATATGGACCGCATTGAGGCCTTCGTTGGAAACGGGATTTCTTCATTTCATGCTAGACAGAAGAATTCTCAGTAACTTCTTTGTGCTGTGTGTATTCAACTCACAGAGTGGAACGTCCCTTTGCACAGAGCAGATTTGAAACACTCTTTTTGTGGAATTTGCAAGTGGAGATTTCAAGCGATTTGATGCCAACAGTAGAAAAGGAAATATCTTCAAATAAAAACTAGACAGAATCATTCTCAGAAACTACTTTGTGATGTGTGCCTTCAACTCACAGAGTTTAACCTTTCTTTTCTTAGAGCAGTTTAGAAACACTCTGCTTGTTATGTCTGCAAGTGGATATTTGGACCTCTTTGAGGCCTTCGTTGCAAACGGGGTTTCTTCCTTTCATGCTAGACTAAGAAAGAGTTCTCAGTAACTTTTTTGTGTTGTGTGTATTCAACTCACAGAGTTGAACCTTGCTTTAGAGAGAGCAGATTTGAAACACTCTTGCTGTGGCATTTTCAGGTGGAGATTTCAAGCGATTTGAGGACAATTGCAGAAAAGGAAATATCTTCGTATAATAACCAGACAGAATCATTCTCAGAAAATTCTTTGTGATGTGTGCGTTCAACTCACATAGTTTAACCTTTCTTTTCATAGAGCAGTTTGGAAACACTCTGTTTGTAAAGTCTGCAAGTGGATATATGGACCTGTTTGAGGCCTTCGTTGGAAACGGGATTTCTTCATTGAATGCTAGACGGAAGAATTCTCAGTAAATTCTTTGTGTTGTGTGCATTCAACTGACAGAGTGGAACGTCCCTTTAGACAGAGCAGATTTGAAACACTCTTTTTGCGGAATTTGCAAGTGGAGATTTCTAGCCATTTGATGCCAACAGTAGAAAGGGAAACATCTTCAAATAAAAACCAGATAGAATCATTCTCAGAAAATTCTTTGTGATGTGTGCGTTCAACTCACATAGTTTAACCTTTCTTTTCATAGAGCAGTTTGGAAACACTCTGTTTGTAAAGTCTGCAAGTGGATATATGGACCGCATTGAGGCCTTCGTTGGAAACGGGATTTCTTCATTTCATGCTAGACAGAAGAATTCTCAGTAACTTCTTTGTGCTGTGTGTATTCAACTCACAGAGTGGAACGTCCCTTTGCACAGAGCAGATTTGAAACACTCTTTTTGTGGAGTTTGCAAGTGGAGATTTCAAGCGATTTGATGCCAACAGTAGAAAAGGAAATATCTTCAAATAAAAACTAGACAGAATCATTCTCAGAAACTACTTTGTGATGTGTGCCTTCAACTCACAGAGTTTAACCTTTCTTTTCTTAGAGCAGTTTAGAAACACTCTGCTTGTTATGTCTGCAAGTGGATATTTGGACCTCTTTGAGGCCTTCGTTGCAAACGGGGTTTCTTCCTTTCATGCTAGACTAAGAAGAGTTCTCAGTAACTTTTTTGTGTTGTGTGTATTCAACTCACAGAGCTGAACCTTGCTTTAGAGAGAGCAGATTTGAAACACTCTTGCTGTGGCATTTTCAGGTGGAGATTTCAAGCGATTTGAGGACAATTGCAGAAAAGGAAATATCTTCGTATAACAACCAGACAGAATCATTCTCAGAAAGTGCTTTGTGATGTGTGCGTTCCACTCACAGAGTTTAACCTTTCTTTTCATAGAGGAGTTTGGAAACACACTGTTTGTAAAGTCTGCAATTGGATATATGGACCTGTTTGAGGCCTTCGTTGGAAACGGGATTTCTTCATTGAATGCTAGACGGAAGAATTCTCAGTAAATTCTTTGTGTTGTGTGCATTCAACTCACAGAGTGGAACGTCCCTTTAGACAGAGCAGATTTGAAACACTCTTTTTGCGGAATTTGCAAGTGGAGATTTCTAGCCATTTGATGCCAACAGTAGAAAGGGAAATATCTTCAAATAAAAACCAGACAGAATCATTCTCAGAAAATTCTTTGTGATGTGTGCGTTCAACTCACATAGTATAACCTTTCTTTTCATAGAGCAGTTTGGAAACACTCTGTTTGTAAAGTCTGCAAGTGGATATATGGACCGCATTGAGGCCTTCGTTGGAAACGGGATTTCTTCATTTCATGCTAGACAGAAGAATTCTCAGTAACTTCTTTGTGCTGTGTGTATTCAACTCACAGAGTGGAACGTCCCTTTACACAGAGCAGATTTGAAACACTCTTTTTGTGGAGTTTGCAAGTGGAGATTTCAAGCGATTTGATGCCATCAGTAGAAAAGGAAATATCTTCAAATAAAAACTAGACAGAATCATTCTCAGAAACTACTTTGTGATGTGTGCCTTCAACTCACAGAGTTTAACCTTTCTTTTCTTAGAGCAGTTTAGAAACACTCTGCTTGTTATGTCTGCAAGTGGATATTTGGACCTCTTTGAGGCCTTCGTTGCAAACGGGGTTTCTTCCTTTCATGCTAGACTAAGAAGAGTTCTCAGTAACTTTTTTGTGTTGTGTGTATTCAACTCACAGAGTTGAACCTTGCTTTAGAGAGAGCAGATTTGAAACACTCTTGCTGTGGCATTTTCAGGTGGAGATTTCAAGCGATTTGAGGACAATTGCAGAAAAGGAAATATCTTCGTATAACAACCAGACAGAATCATTCTCAGAAAGTGCTTTGTGATGTGTGCGTTCCACTCACAGAGTTTAACCTTTCTTTTCATAGAGGAGTTTGGAAACACACTGTTTGTAAACTCTGCAAGTGGATATATGGACCTGTTTGAGGCCTTCGTTGGAAACGGGATTTCTTCATTGAATGCTAGACGGAAGAATTCTCAGTAAATTCTTTGTGTTGTGTGCATTCAACTGACAGAGTGGAACGTCCCTTTAGACAGAGCAGATTTGAAACACTCTTTTTGCGGAATTTGCAAGTGGAGATTTCTAGCCATTTGATGCCAACAGTAGAAAGGGAAATATCTTCAAATAAAAACCAGACAGAATCATTCTCAGAAAATTCTTTGTGATGTGTGCGTTCAACTCACATAGTTTAACCTTTCTTTTCATAGAGCAGTTTGGAAACACTCTGTTTGTAAAGTCTGCAAGTGGATATATGGACCGCATTGAGGCCTTCGTTGGAAACGGGATTTCTTCATTTCATGCTAGACAGAAGAATTCTCAGTAACTTCTTTGTGCTGTGTGTATTCAACTCACAGAGTGGAACGTCCCTTTGCACAGAGCAGATTTGAAACACTCTTTTTGTGGAGTTTGCAAGTGGAGATTTCAAGCGATTTGATGCCAACAGTAGAAAAGGAAATATCTTCAAATAAAAACTAGACAGAATCATTCTCAGAAACTACTTTGTGATGTGTGCCTTCAACTCACAGAGTTTAACCTTTCTTTTCTTAGAGCAGTTTAGAAACACTCTGCTTGTTATGTCTGCAAGTGGATATTTGGACCTACTTTGAGGCCTTCGTTGCAAACGGGGTTTCTTCCTTTCATGCTAGACTAAGAAAAGTTCTCAGTAACTTTTTTGTGTTGTGTGTATTCAACTCACAGAGTTGAACCTTGCTTTAGAGAGAGCAGATTTGAAACACTCTTGCTGTGGCATTTTCAGGTGGAGATTTCAAGCGATTTGAGGACAATTGCAGAAAAGGAAATATCTTCGTATAATAACCAGACAGAATCATTCTCAGAAAGTGCTTTGTGATGTGTGCGTTCAACTCACAGAGTTTAACCTTTCTTTTCATAGAGGAGTTTGGAAACACACTGTTTGTAAAGTCTGCAATTGGATATATGGACCTGTTTGAGGCCTTTGTTGGAAACGGGATTTCTTCATTGAATGCTAGACGGAAGAATTCTCAGTAAATTCTTTGTGTTGTGTGCATTCAACTGACAGAGTGGAACGTCCCTTTAGACAGAGCAGATTTGAAACACTCTTTTTGCGGAATTTGCAAGTGGAGATTTCTAGCCATTTGATGCCAACAGTAGAAAGGGAAATATCTTCAAATAAAAACCAGACAGAATCATTCTCAGAAAATTCTTTGTGATGTGTGCGTTCAACTCACATAGTTTAACCTTTCTTTTCATAGAGCAGTTTGGAAACACTCTGTTTGTAAAGTCTGCAAGTGGATATATGGACCGCATTGAGGCCTTCGTTGGAAACGGGATTTCTTCATTTCATGCTAGACAGAAGAATTCTCAGTAACTTCTTTGTGCTGTGTGTATTCAACTCACAGAGTGGAACGTCCCTTTACACAGAGCAGATTTGAAACACTCTTTTTGTGGAGTTTGCAAGTGGAGATTTCAAGCGATTTGATGCCAACAGTAGAAAAGGAAATATCTTCAAATAAAAACTAGACAGAATCATTCTCAGAAACTACTTTGTGATGTGTGCCTTCAACTCACAGAGTTTAACCTTTCTTTTCTTAGAGCAGTTTAGAAACACTCTGCTTGTTATGTCTGCAAGTGGATATTTGGACCTCTTTGAGGCCTTCGTTGCAAACGGGGTTTCTTCCTTTCATGCTAGACTAAGAAGAGTTCTCAGTAACTTTTTTGTGTTGTGTGTATTCAACTCACAGAGTTGAACCTTGCTTTAGAGAGAGCAGATTTGAAACACTCTTGCTGTGGCATTTTCAGGTGGAGATTTCAAGCGATTTGAGGACAATTGCAGAAAAGGAAATATCTTCGTATAATAACCAGACAGAATCATTCTCAGAAAGTGCTTTGTGATGTGTGCGTTCAACTCACAGAGTTTAACCTTTCTTTCCATAGAGGAGTTTGGAAACACACTGTTTGTAAAGTCTGCAATTGGATATATGGACCTGTTTGAGGCCTTCGTTGGAAACGGGATTTCTTCATTGAATGCTAGACGGAAGAATTCTCAGTAAATTCTTTGTGTTGTGTGCATTCAACTCACAGAGTGGAACGTCCCTTTAGACAGAGCAGATTTGAAACACTCTTTTTGCGGAATTTGCAAGTGGAGATTTCTAGCCATTTGATGCCAACAGTAGAAAGGGAAATATCTTCAAATAAAAACCAGACAGAATCATTCTCAGAAAATTCTTTGTGATGTGTGCGTTCAACTCACATAGTTTAACCTTTCTTTTCATAGAGCAGTTTGGAAACACTCTGTTTGTAAAGTCTGCAAGTGGATCTATGGACCGCATTGAGGCCTTCGTTGGAAACGGGATTTCTTCATTTCATGCTAGACAGAAGAATTCTCAGTAACTTCTTTGTGCTGTGTGTATTCAACTCACAGAGTGGAACGTCCCTTTGCACAGAGCAGATTTGAAACACTCTTTTTGTGGAATTTGCAAGTGGAGATTTCAAGCGATTTGATGCCAACAGTAGAAAAGGAAATATCTTCAAATAAAAACTAGACAGAATCATTCTCAGAAACTACTTTGTGATGTGTGCCTTCAACTCACAGAGTTTAACCTTTCTTTTCTTAGAGCAGTTTAGAAACACTCTGCTTGTTATGTCTGCAAGTGGATATTTGGACCTCTTTGAGGCCTTCGTTGCAAACGGGGTTTCTTCCTTTCATGCTAGACTAAGAAGAGTTCTCAGTAACTTTTTTGTGTTGTGTGTATTCAACTCACAGAGTTGAACCTTGCTTTAGAGAGAGCAGATTTGAAACACTCTTGCTGTGGCATTTTCAGGTGGAGATTTCAAGCGTTTTGAGGACAATTGCAGAAAAGGAAATATCTTCGTATAATAACCAGACAGAATCATTCTCAGAAAGTGCTTTGTGATGTGTGCGTTCCACTCACAGAGTTTAACCTTTCTTTTCATAGAGGAGTTTGGAAACACACTGTTTGTAAAGTCTGCAAGTGGATATATGGACCTGTTTGAGGCCTTCGTTGGAAACGGGATTTCTTCATTGAATGCTAGACGGAAGAATTCTCAGTAAATTCTTTGTGTTGTGTGCATTCAACTCACAGAGTGGAACGTCCCTTTAGACAGAGCAGATTTGAAACACTCTTTTTGCGGAATTTGCAAGTGGAGATTTCTAGCCATTTGATGCCAACAGTAGAAAGGGAAATATCTTCAAATAAAAACCAGACAGAATCATTCTCAGAAAATTCTTTGTGATGTGTGCGTTCAACTCACATAGTTTAACCTTTCTTTTCATAGAGCAGTTTGGAAACACTCTGTTTGTAAAGTCTGCAAGTGGATATATGGACCGCATTGAGGCCTTCGTTGGAAACGGGATTTCTTCATTTCATGCTCGACAGA